>NC_000012.12:69732855-69884370 GCF_000001405.40 Homo sapiens | reverse complement strand
GAAAAGCCTAGGGATCAGAACCTGGAATTACAGGCCCACACTGAAACCCAAGGCACACACCTGAGCCTAGTGCTAGAACTTATTCATATTAATACTACTAACAATGTCTCCTACTTTGAGTGCTTTCTGCACCACAGGTGCTGTCCCAGACACATTACATAGTATTCCATCAGCTCCTTAAATTATCTCCCAGGTAAGAATCCTTTTGTTCCATAAACTTTCTTTTTTGAAGGACAGTGTACATCAAGAAGAGTACACAGATCATAAGTACACTATTTTATACTTTACAAAATGATCTAGTGGTATAGGATGCTTTGAGCCCTGCAGGAGACACCTACATGCCCCCTGTCAATAATTAGTCTCTCCTCCCCAAGACTGACCACTATCCTACAATCTAACACCATAGCAGAGTTTATATGGAATACTATGGAAATGGAATACTATGATGTAATATATACTCTTGTATGCTGGGCTGGCCTCTTTTTTTTTCTTTTTTAGACAGGGTCTTGCTCCGTCACACAGGCTGGAGTGCAATGGCACAATCATAGCTCACTGTAGCTTCAACTTCCTGGGCTGAAGCTTTCCTCCCACCTCAGCCTCCTGTGTAGTTGGGACCACAGGCATGTGCCACCACATCGGCTAATTTTTTTTTTTTTTTTTTTTTACTTTTTGTAGAGACAGGATCTTACTTTGTTGCCCAGGCTGGTCTCATACTTCTGGGCTCAAGCGATCCACCCACCTCAGCCTCCCAAAGTGCTGAGATTACAGGCATGAGCCACCATCCCTGGCCTCACCGGCCTCTTTTGCCCAACAGTATGTTTATGGGATTCATTCATTAGTGTTGCAAATGGCAGTGCTTTGCTCATTCTCATTGCCATATTGTACTCCATTGTATAAATATACCACAATTTATCTTGCCGTTGATGGCCATTTGGTATCTTTTTGGTTTGTGATTGTTACAAGTAATGCTGCTCTGGACATTCTTATGAATGTCTTTTGGTGGGCATATGTACACATTCCTGCTAGTTATACTTCTAGGGATGGAATCTATGGGTTGCAGGACATGCTTTAGTAGATACTGCCAAAAGGATTTCTAAAGTGGTTATGAGGTAAGGATTCTTAATCTCATTTAACAAATGTGGAAACTGACTTTCAAAGACCTGAAATAACTTGCCCAGTGTCACAGCTGTTAAGTGGAAGAGGTGAGATTCAAATCTTCCTCTTCGCTTCATGCTAGATTGAGGATCTCTTGAGAAAATCTAACAGAAGTGAGAATGTAAAAGCAGCAAACTGCCTAAGTCCAGACCTTTTGGAGAAAACTGATAGCTTGCATTTGAATGCCTTTCAAAATATGTTTGCATAACTTACTTTAAAAAGTCTTAGAGATGGGTAAAGTCAAAATTATTATTCTCGTTTCATAATCAAGAAAAATAAGGCTCTGGGAATCCCAGATTCCTGGAGAGATGAGATAGGTACATTTTCTGATGCTACAGTGTGAATTCAGCCAGTGCACCTCTTACTGTGGGCCACTGGCCATGACTCTAGGGCTGGAAAACCCTTTTGTATTTGAGGTTCAAAATAAGAGAAGATTGAAGCCTTCCAGGGAGGCCATGAACCCTTTTTTCATTTGGGGTTCAGACCAAGTAGGGCCAGGAACCAGCTGGTAGAAGCCTGCCTACCAGCACTTCCTCTCTAAGCAAAATTTTACATTTGCCCACGCCAACCCAGTAATTCTACATTTTCAGCCCTATAAATGAGGATCTTGGAACCCTTGGCCAAAGTGTACTACTTGGGAGGAGGTCACTAGAAAAGTTTTATTGATTGACTCAGGCCATCTCTGATCAAAAATTGGTGATCCTTCTGCCTGTAAGACTGGCATAACCTCCTCCTTCCTCTAGCAATGTGCTGTTTCCCCAGGACCTTTGTAGAAATGTTGGCCCCTGCAACATCAAATAGGAATTATTGACTAGAAAACTTTCGCTAAAAATACAAACTGTAATAAGAATGTGGCATTCGGATTAACTAAATGTTTTGTTTTGTGTCTTTTTTTTCTTTCTTTCTTTTTTCTTTTTTTGGCCTTGGGAACCTGCTCATTTTCATTCTGGAACTGTTGTCTGGAATCAGTTATCTTTAGTCAGCTTTTCAGTGACCTGTGAATAGGACTTAAACAAGGGATATAGGATTTCCTATCTGCTGGAAATCCTAGTAATTTCCATCACTCTTCCATGGTTGTTCTCTGAAGATGGTGATGAATCAATGACCTTTCTGGGACAGGCAGCAGAAAACCATCGCAGGATGGAGCTTAACTCTGGGATGGCCAGGACAATTTGAGCAGCAATCTGGTTTGATGAGGGAATTCTTGGAAGGTTTGAGTGACTTGTCCTGTATCCCTTAGTGAGCTAGCGCATCTGCAGTAGAATGAACAGATGGTTCCCCCGTCTGGCTAGGGATTTACTCAGCCTTTTATGTCTGAGAATCATAAAAAAAGCTACAGGCTAGATGTGGGGATCCCTGAAGAAATTAGGGTAGCATTGCATAGGAAGGTGGATGGAAAGCTCTAACTTATCCACAAATGGGGCTTTAATTAGCATTTTGTGTTTCTAAGGTTGGAAAAAAAATGGTGAACAACTGCTGACCATGTTGGATGCATATACAAAGAAAGGAGGCAGTTTGAGGTTTAGTTGATATGAGGGATAGATGCCCAGTGCAATTCTGAGACCGCACTCCCAGGAGATGGGTGGGACTTGACTGACAGGGTGAAGTCATCATCCACAGAAGGCCTCCACAGCCCACGCTGGAGCTGACGCCAAAGGTCCCTCAGAGAATCAGCTCTTACCATGGGGCTGTCAAAGGAAAAGGCAGCAGCCCCAGCAAGAGAGACTGTGTTTTTTCCCACTCAGGTGAAGCCACGCACATCTCCTTTCTGGACAGTGTAAACCTCTAGAATCTGGGGAAGTGGTGGGATGGGGGAACCCAAGAAGGAAGTCTTCAACCTCTTGCTAAGGTGACAAACTGGGATAGAAGAAATGGGACTTGGTACGCTGAATTTGTTCACACTGCCCACATTTGAGTGTTTACAGTTGCTAATAGAACTGGGTTGAGGCCAGACATGGTGGCTCATGCCTGCAATCCAAAGACTTTGGGAGGCTGAGGTGGGAGAATCACTCGAAGCCAGGAATTCAAGACCAGCCTGGGCAACTTAGTGAAACCCATCTTTACAAAACAAATAAGCAAACAAACAAACAAACAGAAACTGGCCTAGAGTGTTATCCTTTTCCCCTAGTATGTGCCATAGCATTTACTCTGAAAATTTTGAAGTTCAAGTCTTTGGACTTCAAAAGGCTACTTTGTTAATCAGGTCTCTTGGCTCAAAACATGATGTGTTACACGTTATATAAGACAAAAAAAAAAAAAAAAAACAGGAAGGCTGACCGCTTGGACATTAGATGACTCGGATGAAAGACTTCTAAAATGATTTCAAATTTCAAACATCCACTGGGAACTTGCCAATTTGAAGTGAGTTTGAGGAAAAGTTCAACTTTCCACCTCCCTGTTCTAGTGGAAAAACACGGTAAGTCTTGCTTCTCAGAGTGCCTTCCATGAGCCAGTAGCATCGCCATCACCTGGGAGCTTGTTAGAAATGCAGAACTCAGACCCTAGAGACTGAATCAGAGTCTGCATTTTACCAAGATCCTCATGCTATTTCTTGCACATTAAGGTTGAGAAGGATTGCAGCAATGCAATGGGCACACCAGCAGGCTCTTGAAGGCACTGCCATACTGCACAGCTTCCACAGGCCTGGAGCCTGAATCCTCTGAGACACATCGTCCCTGAAATTGAAAGATTGGCACTTCACCCACACCTGAGACGGGAAACATCATCTCTTCCTAGGAGGACCTGTGTGACCCCGCCTGCATGAAAGGTACATCAAGAGGGAAGAACCAAACTACCAGAGCTTATCATTGCTCTTCTGTGAGAGGGAAACTTTTGCAGGGCTGCTCAAAGGCTGGTAAAAAGCCTTGCTTTAATGCCCAAGGCTTTGATGGCATCGCCCTTGTTCCCACCCAGGTTTGCTCACTCGGTCTGCAGTGGCAGGCCCACACTCGGCATTCCCCGGAGTCCTCCAGTGCCTGCGTGCACTTTCTCTTCTTGGTTGGAGGCAATGAGGCTCTAAAATCAAGACACCAAAACGAAGGTTAGGATTCTTCCTTGTGTTCCATGTTATGTTAAATAAAATTTAATCTCCCAGGCTCTCTGCTTTCCTAAGTCTAATTCCAATTAGTTAAGGTTCCTTGAGCCCTACTAGGCTGAAACTATTTCCCTTGATCAAGTGGATCTGAGATTCACCAACCTGAAAGATAAGCTGACAATGTTTATAATGGCAGAGGACTCATTGAGACAGGGAAGATACAGACTTAAAATATAGGTATACATTTTACACCCGACAACTTTTTTCATGTGGAGTTTTACCACAATTTTTGATAGCCTTTACTCTTTCTGGCACTCTCTAGATCCAGAAGAGGAAATAAAAGAAAGAAAAGGGGAGAAGACAGAAGAAAAGAACATTAGTTAATGCTTAATTAGCAGATATTTCTCGGAGAGCTCATTCACAATCCCTTTGGGTAGTCTAGCTGAGGCTGCATAAGCTTACGGTGTTTCCTCCATCATCCAGAACCTCACTGTATATTTCTGACATTTTAGCTTTTGGTTGAATGAGGACCTTGGATTTGGAGGGTTTTTAATTAAAAGATTGTCTAAGCCAAGAACACTGGGACCTCGCGATGTCCTATACGCGTCTCAACACTGCCATCTCCTGGACAGGACTCCACTGTGCATTCTCTCTAGGTGCCTGCCAGAGGCAGGCTGCTCCGAGGCTTTCCGCAAAGGTCTTTGATAACTAAATATCTTTTTCTTTACCCAGGGCTGTGACACAGAGGCTGCTGAGGGTAAGAACAACCTATCCCCAGATGGGAGGACACGGATTGGTCCAGGGGGGTGGCAAGATGACTGGCGTTTGAGTGGCAGCTGTGAAAGCCTCCGTGGATTTGGCAGGAGTCGCCCATTCCAGAGGTGCTCTGCAGCGGGTGCATGGGCGGCATCGCAGGAGCAGCTGTGGGGTGGAGAAAAGGAGCTGGAGTCCTCCCAGCTGTGGGCCTCAGGGTTGGGTAGCATGCACCTGGGGAGAGACACAAGCAGGAAGTGCCCCTTTCTCACGGCCCAGAGTCGAGGAGGAAGAGCAACAGTGCCAGATGTGCTGAAGGTGGATCGCACTCACCTTTGACCTGCGGAGGAGAGCATGAGTCGGATGCAGAATAGGGCGGGGTGTCTGGGAGCTGGCGTTGCCTGAAGATTAGAGACATACATTGCGTTTTTGTTTCACTCTAGTCCATTATAGTTTTGTCACAAATGGGAGACAACCCTCAGTGTACAGCCCCCACAGTGATGGTTCCAGGTGCTGGGCATGGGGGGGTGAGGGGTTTGGGAAGTGAGACCCCAGCAGACCAGGCCCAAGGTCGTGTCCTGGTTAAGTGAGTGGGCTTTGGGTCCCAGCTCTTCCACTTCCTAGCTGTGTATCCATGAATAAGTACGTAACCTCTCCAGGCCTCCATTTCCTCATCTACAAAATGGAAATAATCATTACATCTACCTCACAGCATTGTTGTGAGAATTAAATGAGATCATGTATATAAAGCCCATTAACATAATGTCCCAAACATAGTGAGTGCCCAATAAAGTTTAATATTATTGCTTCTTATAAAGGACAAATATTTAAAGTGACAGATATCCCAATGGCACTGATTGAATCTTTACAAATTACATGGATGTATTAAATTATCACATTTACCCCCAAATATATATACATCTATTATGTATCAATAAAATTTTTTAAATAATTACTTCTTAATACTCCTATACCAGAAAAAAATGGTTGTACATACTGTTTGAGCTAACGAAATGTAAATTGCTGTCCCTACAGCAATGATTTTCCATCTGGGCGCAAAGGGATCCCAAAGCTCTTAAAAGGAGTTCAGGGGTTGTATAACAAGAACACTTTAAATTGCTGAGGAGAAAATAACTTTTTTCTGTTTTATATATTGAAGTGCAAGTAATTTTTTTTTTTTTTTTTTGAGATGGAGTCTTGCTCTGTTACCCAGGCTGGAGTACAGTGACATGATTTTGGCTCACTGCAACCTCCACCTCCCAGGTTCAAGTGATTATCCTGACTCAGCCTCCCAAGTAGCTGGGATTACAGGCGCCTGCCACCACACCTGGTTAATTTTTGTATTTTTAGTAGAGACAGGGTTTCACCATGTTGGCCAGGCTGGTCTTGAACTCCTGACCTTAGGTGATCTGCCTGTCTCAGCCTCCCAAAATGTAGGGATTACAGGCGTGAGCCATGGCACCCAGCCAGTAAAATTTTATTTTTAAAAAAATGTGTACTACCACTAAAGAAGTGTGAAAATCTCTGTTTCAAAAGACCTACAAGTTGCTTATAGCTCAGCATCTCTGTGATGCTGCATCATACATAAGCACCCCAACCTCTACTTGATTCTCTTGCTTGAAGAGGAAGCTTCAAGTTTAGTATGTTTAAAAGTCCAACATAATACGATGAAAAGCTTGCTTTTATCATTTATCAGAAAAGTTGTTTTCTCCTCAAATTAGTTCTTTATAATTTATTCACTTCCTATTAATAAGGGAAGAGAGGACACACATCTACTCTCCTCCAAAAATCCCACTCAAATAAATGTAAAGGAATAAAGAGACATAATAAAGAATATGAGCAGAGACCCCAGCAGACCAAATTTTAATAACATGGCAGCAGACAGAAATAGAATAGATGATAACTGAACTAGTAGAATGGACAAAACACAACCAAGACTGCCTGGAAATGGTGGAGGGAACAGAGGGATCCAACAAGAAGTTTTCCAATCAAACAAAACTCAAAAAGCCCAGGACGCAGGAGTCACCATGAGCTTCTGCATTCAGGGCTAAGGGTGGAGCTGAAAACAAAAGGATTGGTTGAACATTTGAACAAGAAACAACTGGAGGCCTGGCGCGGTGGCTCATGCCTGTAATCCCAGCACTTTGGGAGGCGGAGGCGGGCGGATCACGAGGTCAGGAGATCGAGGGCATCCCACCTAACACGGTGAAACTCCGTCTCTACTAAAAATACAAAAAATGAGCCAGGCGTGGTGGCAGCCGCCTGTAGTCCCAGCTACTCGGGAGGCTGAGGCAGGAGAATGGCGTGAACCCGGGAGGCGGAGCTTGCAGTGAGCCAAGATCGCGCCACTGCACTCCAGCCTAGCTGACCGAGCGAGACTCCGTCTCAAAAAAAAAAAAAAAAAAGAAAGAAAGAAAGAAAGAAAGACCTGGACCCTTATATTAGCTTCCCCACCCTGTAAAGCTACCTCCATCACCCCAACAGAAGTTGGAAAGGTTTACTCTCTAGAGAAATGGTCCCAGGGAAACTGTGGTACAGGGTTACCAGGCACAGTGAATGCTGTGGCTGAGCTACTGGGCTGAAAAAATAGAAGAATTCATTAAAAATCTAACCACTGAATTCTGAGTCTTTTCCTTAACTCTGTTTTGCATGTATCCAAGCAGATTTCCCACAAGTAAGAAATTGGAATAATGTTCCCAAGAAAAATGGAATGTACTCGAGGAAAACGTAGTATTTTCAAGTTACCAAGGAAATAGCCATCCCCTCCTTCATCACTCTACCAAGAAATTCATCCTTGGATGAGAACAATGGTTTGCACACAGAACTTTTTAAACACGAACAAACAATAAAGGACCAGACATTTTGAGAAAGGCTTTAACATTAAAGACAGAGAACAAAACCAGATAAATAGGGAATGCTAAAGAATCACAAAGAGCTCTTTTCGTTTTTTTTTCCCCCTTCTTATATGATGATTAAACTCCTACCAAATCTGACCCTCCCACAGAGAAACAGTACAAATGCTGGAAATACTTTAAAAACAAAAACAAAACAAAACAAAAAACACCACCTACCCAAAGACACTGGAAACTAGACAAAAGCAAGGAGATTGTGGTGGGCACTGAAACTTGGAGAAGGTACTGCCATACAGTGAGTTTCTTGTTTACAGCATTTAGTCTGAGGGCTGGTTGAAGTCAGAGCCACAGGACAGCTAACCTCCGATAGAAATCCACAGCCTTCCTGGCCTGAATAACCAGAAAACAAATTTTGGGGCAAACACAGCTGCTGAAAAGTGAAAGAGGAATCTTGGAAAAGAAAGATAAGAGCAGGGGACCCCTGGATTCTGTGTGTAACTCTGCCAAATCTATTGCTGACTCCTGATCTATCATATATGGGGCAGACTGCGCACAGCCCAACCAAAGACAACAGGACTGAACTGAAATTTGAGTTACTTCCCGAGACAAAGTTTACAATTTGAGTCTAAGCAAAGTGATTGACTACTAAAACAAAAGTATACTCTTCTGAGGGATGTAAAAGAATCCAGCCATTCACAATGTCCAGGTACAAAAACTACTCTACAACAGCAATCCCCAACCTTTTTGGCACTAGAGACTGATTTCATGGAAGAGATGGACGTAGTGGGGGCGGGGGATGGTTTCGGGATGAAACTGCTCCATCTCAGATCATCAGGCGTTAGTTAGATTTTCATAAGGCACATGCAATCTAGATCCCCCTCGCCTGTGCAGTTCACAACAGGGTTCCCGCTCCTAATGCCGCTCTAATGCCGCTGCTGATCTGACAGGAGGCAGAGCCCAGGCGGGAATGCTCTTGCAGCCAGGTTCCTATCAGGCCATGGACCCGTAGCAGTCCACCGGCAGGGGTTGGAAAAACTGCTCTCTACAAAGAACCAGAAAAATGTGGCCTAGCTTGGAGGGAGAGAACAATCTGTGAACACTAACCCAGAAATGATCCAGATACTGGATTAGCAGACAAGGATCTTTAAAGCAGCTACTATAAGAAGCTAAATGGAGCAGACAAGCACATGCTTGTGAAAAAAAATAAATAAAATCTCAGCAAAGAAATCAAAACTACAAATAAAAAAACTAAATAGAAATTCTAAGATTAGAAAAATTCCAGAAATAAAAATTTAAAAAAATTATTAGATGGGCTTAAAACAGAACTCAAAGATACATCAATAGACATCATCCCATCTAAACAACAGAGAGGAAAAAAATGAACTTTAAAAAAGAGAGAGAAAAAGAGATTTATGAACCTGCAGAGAGGATGAAACAGAAAAAAAAATTAAGATATAACAGCCAAAATCTTCCTAAATTTAGGAAAAGATATAAATGTATATATCTTTATGAAGATATATACTTCACTCTGATGTGGTAGATGTATTTATTTTGCTGAGCTTCTTAAAGATATAAATGTATATATCTTAGATATATACATTTATATCTTTAAAGATACATACATTTATATCTTTAAGAAGCTCAGCAAAATAAATACATCTACCGCATCAGAGTGGAGTAACTGTAAGCCAAAAATAAAGAGAAAGTCTTAAAAGTAGCTAAAGAAAAACAGTACCTTATGTGCAGGGTCATAGTGATTCAAATAATCACTGACTAATCAAAATCTCCAGAGGCCAGAAGACAGTACAAAAACATCTTTAAAGTGCTACAGAAAAACAAAATTGGTAAGCCAGAATTTGATATCCAATGAAAATAGTCTTCAAGAATGAAAGCAAAATAAAGATATTTTGAGATAAAAGAAAACTAAGTGAATTTGAGAATAGACATGTACAATAAGAAATGTTAAAGACAGTTATTCAGGCTAAAGGGAAATGGTTCTAGATGGAAATTTGAAACTATGAAAAGGTATGAAGAGAATAAAAATGATATATTATTGAATGTAAATTATTTTTTATCTTAATTTTTAAAAATACATCTGAAGGTGGGCACAGTGGCTCATGCCTATAATCCCAGCACTTTGGGAGGCCGAAGGAGAAGAGTTGCTTAAGACCAGGAGCTTAAGACTAGCCTGGACAACATGGGAAGACCCTGTTTCTACAAAAAATATTAAAATTAGCAGGGCGTGGTGGCATGCACCTGTGCTCCCAGCTACTCAGGAAGCTGAGGCTGAAGGATCGCTTGAGCCCAGGAGAATGAGGCTTGAGTGAGCCATGAGTTGCCACTGCTCCCTAGCCTGAGCAACAGGCTGAGAAGTTATTTCAAAAATAATAATAAAATAAAATAACAAAATAAAATACATTTGAGTGCTTAAAGTAAAAATTATGATTTTGTGAAGTTTATAATGCACATAGGTATAATACTTAGGACAGCTATAGCATAGGGGATGGGAGTTGGAGATCAATGGAACTACATTGTTGATGGTTCTACATTTTATGTAAAGTGGTACAATATTAACTCATTAACTCTAAGTAAACTGTAAAAAGTTAAATAATGCAAAGAAGTAGAACTAAAGTCAACAGATAAAATGAAATTCTAAAATTATTCAAACAATACAAAATAAACCAAGAAAGGAGTTACAGAAGAATAAGAAACAGAAGGGGCCAAAAAAAAAAAGACAGACAAATAATTAAATGTCAGACTTAACTACAGATATAGTCCTCCCTTATCCATGGTTTCACTTTCTAAGGTTTCAGTTACCCACAATCAACCTTGGTCCAAAAATATTAAATGGAAAATTCCAGAAATAAATAATTTGTAAGTTTTAAATTGCACTCCATTCTGAGTAGCATGATGAAATCATAAACCATGAATCATCCCCTTTTTCCAGTATATCCACACTGTATCCACTACCCACCCATTGTCTTAGTAGCCTAAGACAAAGACGGATTTCCTGCCACGATATCACATTGCTTGTGTTCAAGTAACCTTTATTTTACTTTATAATGGTTCCAAACACAAGACATGTAAAGTTGGCAATTTGTATATGCCCAAGAGAAGCCACAAAGTACTTCCTTTAAGTGAACATTTGAAAATTCTTGACATAGTAAGGAAAGAAAAAAAAATCGTGTGCTGAGATTGCTAGAATCTACTGCAAGCTTGTCCAACCCGCCACCCGTGGGCTGCATGCAGCCCAGGACGGATGCAGCCCAACACAAATTTGTAAACTTGTAAAAAACGTTATGAGATTTTTTTCTGATTTTTTTTTGGTTTAGCTCATCATCTATCATTAATCTTCGTGTATTTTACATGTGGCCAAAGACAATTCTTCTTCTTCCGATGTGGCCCAGGGAAGCCAACAGATTGGACACCCCTGATCTACTGTAAGAATTAATCTTCTATTCATGAAACTGTAAAGAAAGAAAAAGAAATTTGTGCATAGCATATATAGGGTTTGGTACTACCCTCAGTTTCAGGCATCCAGTAGAGGTATTGCAACATATCCTCCATGAATAAGGAGGTCTATTGTGCAATACTAATAATTACATTAGATGTTAAAAGATTAAACACTCCCATTAAAAGGCAGAAATTAGGCCAGGCACGGTAGCTCACCTAATTCCAGTGCTTTGGGACGCTGAGGCAGGAGGATTGCTTGAGGTTAGGAATTCAAGACCAGCTTCAGCAACATAGTGAGACCCTGTCTCTAAAAACAAAATGTAAAGGCCAGGCGTGGTGGCTCACACCCGTAATCCCAGCACTTTGGGAGGCCGAGGCAGGTGGATCACAAGGTCAGGAGCCTAAGACCAGCCTGGCCAACATGGTGAAACCCCATCTCTACTAAAAATACAAAAATTAGCCGGGCACAGTGGCGCACACCTGTAATCCCAGCTACTCACGAGGCTGAGGCAGGAGAATCGTATGACCTCAGGAGGCAAAGGTTGCAGTGAGCCGAGATCATGCCATCGCACTCCAGCCTAGGCAACAGAGCGAGACTCCATCTCAAAAAAAAAAAATTTTTTTTATTTAAGATTAGCCAGGTGTGGTTGTGCACACCTATAGTCCCAGCTATTCAGGAGGGTGAGGCAGGAGGATCACTTGAGCCCAGAAATTTGAGGTTACAATGAGCTGTGATCATGCCACTGCACTTCAGCCTAGGTGACAAAGTGAGACCCTGTCCCTAAGGGGGAAAAAGGGCAGAAATGATCAGAATGGATTTTTAAAAAGCAACTCTCTTTTGCCTGCAAAAACACTTGAAATATAAAGACACAGATAAGTCAAAAGTTAACCAAGAGAAAAATGTGTACAAGAAGGGTGAAGCAGTTTCATGAATAATAGCTAAAACTGACTTCAAAATAAAGAGTACCACCACAGACAAAGAGGCTCATTTCTAATAATAAAAGAGTCATTTTTTAGGAAGGCATAGGAATCATGATTGTTTATGTACTTAATAACAGAGTTTCAAAATACGCAAAGCAAAAATTAATGAAACTAAAAGATGTAGACAATTGTACAATCACATAGCTAAATATTTTAACATTCCTCTTTCATCGATGATAGAACACAATGGGGAGAACAAGTTGATAGAACCAAAAAGTCACTAAAGACATACATGGATTGAGGAGTTTATTGACGAGGAAAAGAATTGATTATTTTTAACATTGAGAAAAATTTTCAGCTCTTTTTAGAGAACTTGAGGGAACCAAAGCCAAACAAATTGTAAAAACAAGGCAATGATTCAAACAAAGCAAAAAAAAATGAAAATTATATGTGACACATCATGATAATGTAAGCCCTGGATATTGACATAACTAAAAAATTTTAGACAATTTTATGATATTGGGAAGCTGAGTGTAGAAGTGAATGTAAGATGTGATATAAGAAAATTAAATCTTCCCAGAAGATTATATTATGTTCTTCAAGTGTATACAGCAAAAAAGCAATATAAAAACATTATTTAGATATAGGGCAATAAAAATATCCAAAAAGAGGGCCAGGCGCGGTGGCCCACGCCTGTAATCCCAGCACTTTGGGAGGCCAAGGTGGGTGGATCACGAGGTCAAGAAATCAAGACCATCCCGGCTAACACGGTGAAATCCTGTCTCTACTAAAAAAAAATACAAAAATTAGCCGGGCATGGTGGTAGGTGCCTGTAGTTCCAGCTACTCGGGAGGCTGAGGCAGAATGGCGTGAACCCGGGAGGCGGAGCTTGCAGTGAGCCAAGATTGTGCCACTGCACTCCAGCCTGGGCGACAGAGCAAGACTCCATCTCAAAAAAAAAAAAAAAAAAAGAAATATCCAAAAAGAGTTGGAAAGTGGCTGCCTCTGGGGGAGCCAATTTAAAGACAGGGGTAGAGCAGGGGGATTGCTGGTAATCTCCTATTATATGCTATATACAGTATCATTTGACTTCTTAAATTCTTCACATGTATCACTCTAGGTCTATAAATTAAATTTTGTAACTGACTCTGTGATCTCATAATTCCACATTTAAGGCTCTAGGCAGTTGTTTAGTTACCCTGACACTACAGGCATCATTGAATTCAATAATGTAATAAAAACTGAAAATCACAATTAAATGATCAATCTACTAAAAAAAATATGGCTTGGCATATTGTAAACAGGAATGCAGTCTCCATCCAGCAGTCCCTTAACGAGAACCAAAAGTCCCTGCGTTGAGTGACAGGAATATGTGTTGGTGGTTTTAAGATGAAGATTTTAAAATATTAAATGCTGTCTTTAGAGTTCCTTCCCCTTCCAAAATTCACCACAGCTACTCCTTTATTTCATTGTATTTTATATGCTTCCATGCTCAATGCATTTAAATACAGTTAGAGAAATTTTGCACTTCTTTTCAGAGAATTTGAAGGGAGAATTAATGATAGCTACCTTCAAACTGACCAAATTGTTAAAACAAGAGCAATGATTAGCTCCTAGTAAAACACTTGTTTGGTATTTTTTCTTCACTTCTTAGCCCCTTTTACTCACAATCGTCATGTCAAGAATCCCAGAAATGCACATCAGACTGTGTTTCAGTCTTTGTGCGCCAAACTTGTCTATTATACCAAAAGGATTTCCATAAAGCAGACAAACACCAGAGAGCAACAGACACTATGGGTCATACCCTGAGCGGCCAACCCTGTCTCTAGCTTCAGCAGGAAAGAGTTGTAAAAATCAAGAGATTCGGGAGGCCGAGGCGGGTGGATCACCTGAGGTCAGGAGTTTAAGACCAGCCTGGCCAACATGGCAAAACCCTGTCTTCACTAAAGATACCAAAAAAAAAAAAAAAAAAAAATTAGCCAGACGTGCTTGCTTGAACCCAGGAGGCAGAGGTTGCAGTGAGCCGAGATCTCAACACTGCCCTCCAGCCTGGGCAACAGAGTGAGACTCTGTCCCAAAAAAAAAAAAAAAAAAAAAAAAAAAGGAAGAAAAATCAAGAGATTCTTAGCAGCTGATAAAAATAAAATAATTTGCCTTCTAAACTCCTTCCTCTCAGACATACAACTTGTTTTTTGTCTTTTGGAGGATGAACGGAGAAACAATCTCCCAGGGGTTGAATCTATGTGAACCAAAAGAGGGCGTACAAAATAGACTTTGCCCTCCAGCTAGTTGAGGTGATATGTACATCCATGACATATATGCTGCCCTCAATGCAGCCAGTATTTCTTTCATATTGCAACCAGGCTTACTAAGTCTTTACTGAGTGCCTACTGTGCTCATGACTCTACCAGACATTAGGCAAGACACATACACAGTGTGTCTTCATGTGAATATCTAGGTGGGATACTCACAATTGAGCCATCCAATCCTAGTTTTCTCCAATGAATCCCTCGGTGCCTTCATACAACACCAACCGCCCCTTCTCTAAAGCTCTATTGCACCTCACACTGAGCTCGGCTCAGCACAGTGCCCAATACAGAGTTGGTGCATAACAAATACGAAAGACTGTGTTAAACTACATATGACCATGAATATGCCGTATATATAAATCCATATATCAGGAGAGAGCTTTCCTGACCACCCAATCTAAAATGGTAGCCTCTCCTCCTTGCCTTACTCTTATTTGTCTTCATCTTACTGAGTGACTTTAGACTACCTGCCATTGTCTTTTTCTTCCCACCGGAGTGGCATGACAGTAATGGTGTGCCAAGGATGAGGGGATGGGAATTGCTCACCCCAGGTGCAGGCAATAAGGAAATGCATTGTCTGTAGACAATTTGAAAACAATACTAAGCCTACAAAGAGTCAGTCTGCTTTTTATTATCACCATGCATCACCAATTCTAAGAAAAATGCCTGGGTGCCCTGCCAGGGCAGACTGTACCCACCACACTGCCCTTGGGGAGCTACTGGCAGGGATTATATCTGTTTTGTTCACTGTTTTACCCCATCCTCCAACTATAAAAATGGTTGTTATTTAAAGTATTTCCTCCAATTTTTCATGTATATGATTTATCTTTCCGCATGAACTTTCACATTAAGAATATGTCTTCCTACTCTGTGTGTGAGTGTATGTGTGTGCATGTGTGTGTGCATGTGTGAGTGCATGTGTGCACGCACATGTGGGCATGTGTGAGTGCATATCTGTGTGTACGTGTGAGTACATGTGTGTGTGCGCGTGTGCGTACGTGTGTGTGAGTGCATGTGTGTGCGCGTGTGTGTGCACATGTGTGCATGCTGTGCATGTGTGTGTACATGTGCACTCCATAGTGCTCCAATGGGGAGACTGTGACAGGCACTCAATAAATACTTGATCAAGGTCAGTTAGGGCTTGTAACCACCATCTAGAAGTTGATACAGGAAAGGGTTTTGGCAGAAATGTTGTCAATGAGTATGGTTGCCCAAGAAAACCATTTCATGATATGGCAGCAAAAAACAAGGCAAAGAAGATGCCACTCCTCCCCTCCAGCTCTGTGCTGGCAGACTGCAAGGATCTGACCCTTTCACACCCCTCCGCTGCTGCTTTAGATGTAGAGAAACTTTTTTGAGAACCTACTCTGAGCCAGGCACCATGCTAACCCTTTGCATGTGTGTCTCATTTAACCTCCACAACTCTCATATGAAAAGGTACCATCATTGTACTTAATCCTCAGGCAATGAAACTGAGGTTTGGTCTGGCGCGGTGGCTCATGCCCGTAATCCCAGCACTTTGGGAGGCCGAGGCGGGTGGATCACAAGGTCAGGAGTTTGAGACCAGCCTGGCCAGCATGGTGAAACCCCATCTCTACTAAAAAAAAAAATACAAAAAAATTAGCCAGGCATGGCGACGCAAACCTGTAGTCCCAGCTACTCGGGAGGCTGAGGCAGGAGAATTGCTTGAACCTGGCAGGTGGAGGCTGCAGTGAGCCAAGATTGTGCCACTGCACTCCAGACTGGGCAACAGAGCGAGACTCCGTCTCAAAAAAAAAAAAAAAGAAAAAAAAAAGAAACCGAGGCTTGATGGGGTTAAATAATTCACTCATGATTATCATCTGGCAGTTAGTCGAGCTGGAGTCAGATGGTCTACCACCAGAGTTTATCCTCTAAATAACAGGGTATTTTAAATACAGACCATTCTAATAAAATTACTTATTATTATAGGTCGTTTCATCTGGCACAGATATCCTTAGAATCAAGGAGTATCAGATAATGTTTTAGCCCAGTCTTCTTCTTCAGGCTTTCTCTTATTATATCAGTTTGAACTCAGAAGTCAAACCAGTCACTGAACTCAAATAGTCTTTAACAAGCTCTTCTCACAGAACTCCACGTACTCTCTCACGCCCTTTTGAAACATCACAGTAGAGCTTATCAACCCCACTATAGTGATGGCAGAACCAAGACATGCAGCTGGTAATTGACTCCTAATTCATCTTGCCACCCAAACCCAATAAGCCAAGTCCTAAGTTAAACCCATAATATTAGATGCTTAAGCTCAAACATTAGAACGAAATAAAATGAAGCCTGCCGTTGATTCCTTCACAGATATAACATGTCTCTAAGTTTCCCCTCCTGTGACGTCCCCTATTCAAACACCAGTGTCCTCAGCTAGTTCCCTCCTACCCTTATACCAGATCTCAAAGGCTAAAGCTCATTTTATCTACCCCTACTAAGCACACTGACTCAAACCAAACTGCATTAATTTAGCCTGCCTTGAAGATTTACTAGTCTCTTTTCTAGACCCTTACCTTCCCTGCACACACGTGCATATAACACTTCTTGCCCTTTTTCATTGCAGTTTCAGGGTTTTATTCTTCCCCTAAGTCTCTCCAATCTCCCCCTCTCAAAGCAGCATTGCATACCTGGACATTTCCTAGTATGTCCCACCACCGTAGCTCAACTGTGTACCAAGTGGGTAACTGTCTGGCTAACCTAGGAAATCAGAGAGGACCTCAGCCTGCTCCTCCTAAGCAGACAACTAACCCAAACTCTACCACATAAGGAAATAAAGAGTTAAGGGCAATTTACACAAACCTTCACATGTTGACAGGACGGCCCTCAGCTCTGCATACATGCCTTATACATGTTCATACATGAATAATGCGTCCCAAATGGGGCCCACGGCCAAATAAGTTTGAGGAACACTTCATTCCGTTTCTCTTACCTAGTTGCACATTAGCACATTAAAGGCACTGAGAAGTCCTGCAGTAAAAACACTCATGTAATTTTGTTTAAGCCAGTGAGTCACAAGCTAATTTACTGACCATGGAACATTTTTCCTCACAGCATCTAATGGGACAAGTTTTTTATAGAGCATTTGGTCCTTTTTCATAAGGCCAATAATGCAATGTTTTAATATATTTAAGATCTGAAAATCTGCCTATGAGATTTCAGCTAGCTCTCAGAAATTTTGCAGCCCAGTGGTCTCTTAGGTTTTTGAGATAAAGGGTTGACACTGATATCTTTAGAAGACACACATTGTAGGCAATATGGTAGAGGGGAAGTAACATGATTTGTAGTAAACCCAGGTCTGAATCCCACCTCTAGTACCCAGGCAAAAACAAAACAAAACAAAACAAAAACCCTGCATCCCAGTGCTGTTGTGATATGAAACTATGAAATGAAACTAACCTGCATAAATACCCTGGTATTTAGAAATACTTAAAACTTGGAGTATTTGAACAGGTTGTACAGATCTAATGATCATTGAACTAGCCCAGTGTCCCTGCGGTCATGGACTAGCCATGTTTCTGCTTGTTCTCACTGAGATTTTATTGCAGTTCCACTTAACTGCATGCATCTGAGCATTTTTTTAATCAAGTATAGGTTATCTGATCATAGGGCTCTCCTTTAATGAACGTGAACTCTGACAATCTTTATGAACTATGGCTCGGATCTACTCTGAGTCACACCATTTGGTAGATAATTTTAGACACATTTCATGTATTTCCCTGAGATTCACATTCCTTTAAAATATCAATTAACCTAAAAGCTTCATGTGGAAGAAAAGGCATGTTTCTAGAGCCAGGCAGATTTTTATCTCAGCTTTGCCACGTATTGACCTATGAAGAGTTACTTAACCTCTCTGCACCTTATCCTCCCCATCTGTAAAACACAGATAATATACCTATTTGGAAGAGTTAAGAGAACGAGATATATTACATCAAATATATAATTAAATAAGTGAATATATGAAGTGCAAAGAATGCCCAACACTTAGTAAATGCTCAGCAATAGTAACTTCCTCTTCTACTTCACCTGCAAGCCCCATCACCCACCTCAAAGGTAGAGAGTGAAGCCTCTTGGGCAAACCAGTCCTGAATCTCAATAGCAAGGGGGAAGCCTATGGGTAGATATTTCTGGTCTGGTAGGAAGGACCATTATTATCACGGAGACTAAAATATAAGGCAGATTTCAGACCTCCCAGGTAGCTCAGAACACAATACCCCAAAGTATGGTGCCTTGGCATGCTGAGTACTTTGAAATGAAGGACACTGGAAGGACCTCAGAAGCAAGGTATCTCTGACCTTCCCCTGTCCTCCTGTCTCTCACCCCCTTTTCTCCCTCAGAGCAAATCACAGAAACCATAATTCTTCTTCCCCAAGATGGTTCATAGATACTAGAACTCCTCCCCATAAAGCGAGCCATAAAACCCAGAAAAGTCACTCTCTCCCTTCTGTCTCATTCCAAGGGGACTCTCATTCCAAAGAGACCCTACCTCATACCTTGGAAGAAGCAATGCTACAAAGAGAAGCCAAGAAAAATCTGAACAGACCCTGCTGGGTTTCCTCCCTCAGTCTATTACCATTAGATCACACCCTTTTGTCCACTTACATTTCTACACAGCTGTTCACTCCTCATTGAACCCAAGCATAAAAATAAAAATAGTTTTCCCTGAGTCTCTGGGTTTCATTTCTGAAGACTCCTGCATCACATAAAACTTTAATTAAGTAAATTGTTTATGCTTTTCTCTTGTTAGCCTGTCTTTTGTTATAGGAGTGTTGGTTGTGACCATTATGATGGACAAGGAATGGTATCACACATTTCCATCCCTGTAAAAGACAGCTCTTTGATGAAGACCTTTGTTCACTTTTCCTTCTAAACAGCTAAAGGTCTTTCTGTTAGTTATAAAAAGTAGTCTAGATGATTATACAGAACCCAGGTGGAATCAGCGGAACATTCGCTTTAGGAGAAGACACTTAAGAGGAGAGAGACCATACAACTTTTGGCAGGTTGCTTCCAGGTCAGAGAAAAGGATATATCCATTGTCCACAATTCATACAAGTTACTGGGATGTAGTGAGAGGAATGTGAGGGCAGGCACAGGGGCAATTAGGATCTGAGTTCAGCCCATGCAGCGCCTAGCACAGAACAGCCAGCTCAGAGTGTGGGCTCAGACATTTGGCAACCTACTAGCTCTGTGTGTGTGTGTGTGTGTTTGTGTGTGTGTGTGTGTGTGTGTGTGTGTGTGTAACTTCCTTGAAAAATGTTGAACTCACCTTCTTCCCACAGTTTGTTGCCAAGGAAGTTTCTCTTGGCAGAGAGTAATAAGAGCCAGGTACCAGAAATATCTGCATACAGGTTTCTCCACTACTATTGAGGATTCAGGCCTGGTTTCACTCTCTGTCTTAGGAGGGTAGGGGTATTTGCAGGTATGCTGAGGTGGGCTCAATAACAGAATGGAGATGACAGTGACAGAGGAGAGTCAGTGAACTTAAAGTCAAATCAATAGAAATTATCCAATATAACCAACAGAGAGAAAAAAGATTGAAAAAAAAATGAACTGAGCCTCAGTGACCTGTGCAAAATATCAAAGGTCTAACATTTGCATTCTTGGAGTTCTAGAAGGGAAAAAGAAAGACACTGGTAAAGAAAAATAAATGTTAAAAAACAATGGCTACAAATTTCCCAGATGTGGTCAAAACTATACATTTACAGATTCGAATTTGAGCAAATCCCAAACAGTACAATATAAAAAAAGGCTCATACCTAGAAACATATAATCAAACTGCTGAATACCAAAGATAAAGAAAATATCTTGCAGATGGAGAAAAATGATGTATTACATACAAGGGAACAATGATTCAAATAGCTGTTTATTTTTCATCAGAAACCATGGAGGCTAGAAGGCAGTGGGTCAACATTTTTTAAATGCTGTGGGAGGAAAAAACTCTAATGACCAAGTATTTCATATTCAGCAAAAATGTCTTTTAAAAATGAAGTTGAAATAAAGACATTTTCAGTGGAAGAAAACTAAGAAAATCTATCACCAACAAATCTGCTCTAAATGAAATTCTAAAGGGAGTTCCTAAGGTGGAAGAAGAATGATGCCAGAAAGAATTGTGGAACTTCCCAAATGAAGAAGACCAACAAAAATGGGAAATGCTTGGGTCAATGTAATAGCCTACTTTTTCTCTCTTAAGTTCCTCAACATATACATGAGTGTTGAAACCAAAGATTATAGCATTGTCTCATAGAGTTTTAAATATATATAGATGCAATACACATGATAGCTACAATATAAAAGGGAAAGAGAAATGGGACTTTTATGGCTATAAGGTTTCTACTTTTCATGTGAAGTGGTAAAATATCTTTAAATTGACTGCAAGAGGTTAGGTATGTAGATTGTTGTCCCTCGAGTTACCACTGAAAATAAATTTCTGAATAGATCAATAACAGGCTCTGAAATTGCGGCAATAATCAATAGCTTACCAACCAAAAAGAGTCCAGGACCAGATGGATTCACAGCCGAATTCTACCAGAGGTACAAGGAGGAACCGGTACCATTCCTTCTGAAACTATTCCAATCAATAGAAAAAGAGGGAACCCTCCCTAACACATTTTATGAGGCCAGCATCATCCTGATACCAACGCCGGGCAGAGACACAACCAAAAAAGAGAATTTTAGACCAATATCCTTGATGAACACTGATGCAAAAATCCTCAATAAAATACTGGCAAACCGAATCCAGCAGCACATCAAAAAGCTTATCCACCATGATCAAGTGGGCTTCATCCCTGGGATGCAAGGCTGGTTCAATATATGCAAATCAATAAATGTAATCCAGCATATAAACAGAACCAAAGACAAAAACCACATGATTATCTCAATAGATGCAGAAAAGGCCTTTGACAAAATTCAACAACCCTTCATGCTAAAAACTCTCAATAAATTAGGTATTGATGGGACCTATCTCAAAATAATAACAGCTATCTATGACAAACCCACAGCCAATATCATACTGAATGGGCAAAAACTGGAAGCATTCCCTTTGAAAACTGGCACAAGACAGGGAGGCCCTCTCTCACCACTCCTATTCAACGTAGTGTTGGAAGTTCTGGCCAGGGCAATCAGGCAGGAGAAGGAAATAAAGGGTATTCAATTAGGAAAAGAGGAAGTCAGATTGTCCCTGTTTGCAGATGACATGATTGTATATCTAGAAAACCCCATTGTCTCAGCCCAAAATCTCCTTAAGCTGATAAGCAACTTCAGCAAAGTCTCAGGATACAAAATCAATGTACAAAAATCACAAGCATTCTTATACACCAACAACAGACAAACGGAGAGCCAAATCATGAGTGAACTCCCATTCACAATTGCTTCAAAGAGAATAAAATACCTAGGAATCCAACTTACAAGGGATGTGAAGGACCTCTTCAAGGAGAACTACAAACCACTGCTCAATGAAATAAAAGAGGTTACAAACAAATGGAAGAACATTTCATGCTCATGGGTAGGAAGAATCAATATTGTGAAAATGGCCATACTGCCCAAGGTAATTTATAGATTCAATGCCATCCCCATCAAGCTACCAATGACTTTCTTCACAGAATTGGAAAAAACTACTTTAAAGTTCATATGGAACCAAAAAAGAGCCTGCATTGCCAAGTCAATCCTAAGCCAAAAGAACAAAGCTGGAGGCATCATGCTACCTGACTTCAAACTATACTACAAGGCTACAGTAACCAAAACAGCATGGTACTGGTACCAAAACAGAGATATAGATCAATGGAACAGAACAGAGCCCTCAGAAATAATGCCGCATATCTACAACTATCTGATCTTTGACAAACCTGACAAAAACAAGCAATGGGGAAAGGATTCCCTATTTAATAAATGGTGCTGGGAAAACTGGCTAGCCATATGTAGAAAGCTGAAACTGGATCCCTTCCTTATACCTTATACAAAAATTAATTCAAGATGGATTAAAGACTTACATGTTAGACCTAAAACCATAAAAACCCTAGAAGAAAACCTAGGCATTACCATTCAGGACATAGGCATGGGCAAGGACTTCATGTCTAAAACACCAAAAGCAATGGCAACAAAAGCCAAAATTGACAAATGGGATCTAATTAAACTAAAGAGCTTCTGCACAGCAAAAGAAACTACCATCAGAGTGAACAGGCAACCTACAAAATGGGAGAAAATTTTCACAACCTATTCATCTGACAAAGGGCTAATATCCAGAATCTACAATGAACTCAAACAAATTTACAAGAAAAAAACAAACAACCCCATCAAAAAGTGGGCAAAGGACACGAACAGACACTTCTCAGAAGAAGACATTTATGCAGCCAAAACACACATGAAAAAATGCTCATCATCACTGGCCATCAGAGAAGTGCAAATCAAAACCACAATGAGATACCATCTCACACCAGTTAGAATGGCAATCATTAAAAAGTCAGGAAACAACAGATGCTGGAGAGGATGTGGAGAAACAGGAACACTTTTACACTGTTGGTAGGAATGTAAACTAGTTCATCCATTGTGGAAGTCAGTGTGGCAATTCCTCAGGGATCTAGAACTAGAAATACCATTTGACCCAGCCATCCCATTACTGGGTATATACCCAAAGGACTATAAATCATGCTGCTATAAAGACACATGCACATGTATGTTTATTGCGGCACTATTCGCAATAGCAAAGACTTGGAACCAACCCAAATGTCCAACAATGATAGACTGGATTAAGAAAATGTGGCACATATACACCATGGAATACTATGCAGCCATAAAAAATGATGAGTTCATGTCCTTTGTAGGGACATGGATGAAATTGGAAATCATCATTCTCAGTAAACTATCGCAAGAACAAAAAACCAAACACTGCATATTCTCGCTCATAGGTGGGAACTGAACAATGAGAACACATGGACACAGGAAGGGGAACATCACACTCTGGGGACTGTTGTGGGGTGGGGGGAGGGGGGAGGGGGGAGGGATAGCTTTAGGAGATATACCTAATGCTAAATGATGAGTTAATGGGGGCAGCACACCAGCATGGCACATGTATACATATGTAACTAACCTGCACATTGTGCACATGTGCCCTAAAACTTAAAGTATAACAATAATAAAATAAAAAAAGAAAATAAATCTATATGAAGAGTTTAAAAGGCAATCAATATATTAAGATGGAATACTAAAAATCTTCAAACAATTTAAAAGAGGGCAGGAAAGGGGGAAAAGAAGTACAAGAAGCAGAGGGGATGAACATTTTTTAAAAGAAAAAGATAGACTCAAATCCAAACATATCAATAATTAATTTAAATATAAATTGTCTAAGTTGAGACAGAAATTGTCCAATTAGATAGGGAAAAATACCCAATGATACGCTGAATAAAAAAACTAATTTGATATATATAGGTTACAATTAAAGGATGGCAAAAGATATATAACAAAAACACTAATCAAAAGAGAGCCGAAACTATTCACAATAGCAAAAACATGGAATCAACCTAAATGTCCATCAATGATAGAATGGATAAAGAAAGTGTGGTAATATACACCATGGAATACTATAAAACCATAAAAAGGAATGAGATCATGTCCTTTGCAGGGACATGGATGGAGTTGGAAGTCATTATCCTCAGCAAACTAATGCAGAAATGGAAAACCAAACACCACATATTCTCACTTATAAGTGGGAGCTGAATTATGAGAACACATGAACACAAGGGGGAACAACATACACTGGAGCCTGTTGGGGGGCCCAGGTGTTGGGGGCAGATGGAGAGCATCAGGAAGAATAGCTAATGGATGCTGGGCTGAATACCTAGGTGATGGGATGATCCTTGCAGCAAACCACCTAGGCACACGTTTATCTATGTAACAAGTCTGTACATCCTGCATATGTACCTCTGAACTTAAAATAAAAGTTGAAGAAAAGAAAAAAAAAGAGAGCTGCAGTGGCTAGATTAATATTGGACCAAATAGACTTCCTAGATGCCTGAGGAATTGCCACACTGACTTCCACAATGGATGAACTAGTTTACGTTCCTACCAACAGTGTAAAAGTGTTCCTGTTTCTCCACATCCTCTCCAGCACCTGTTGTTTCCTGACTTTTTAATGATTGCCATTCTAACTGGTGTGAGATGGTATCTCATTGTGGTTTTGATTTGCATTTCTCTGATGGCCAGTGATGATGAGCATTTTTTCATGTGTTTTTTGGCTGCATAAATGTCTTCTTTTGAGAAAAGAAAAAGGAGATAAAAAGGAACATCACTCTGATAAAAGACTAAGTTCACCAGAAAGACAAAACAGTACTAAATGTGTTTGCACTTAACCACATAACTTTTCAATTCAATACAATTATGTTTTCACAAAATCCAATAGAACTGATGGAGAAGTAGAAACATCCACAATCACACTTGAAGACTTCAACATTTCTGTCACTGTCGTAGATAAAATTAGTAGAAAGCAATCAGCAAGGATATAGAAGACCTGAACAAGAATGTCAACCAACTTGACCTAACTGATATTTATAGAATACTATCCAACAACAGCACAGTGAGCATTCTTCCAAGTGCATACGTAACATTCACCAAGATAGATCATATTCTGGGTCATAAAGCAAACCTTAACAAAATTTGAAATCATACAAAGGATGTTCTCTGTTCATAATGGAATTAAACTAGAAACCAGTCACAGAAAAATATATGGAAAATTTCCAAACGTTTGGAAGTTACATAATACATTTCCAGCAACCCATGAGTCAAAGAAAGTCAAATAAAATTTCTCAAAAGAAATTTGAAAGTATTTTGAACTGAAAAAAATATATATATATAGTATATCAAAAACTGAGTGAGGCAGCTAAAGCCACATACAGAGGGAAATGTACAGCATTGAATGCTTAAATCAGAAAACAAAGTTTAACCTCAAATCACAAACTCACTTTCCACTCTAAAGAACTAGAAAAATAAGAGCAAACTAAACCCAAATTAAGCATAAGGAACAAAATAATAAAGATAAGAGTAGAAGTCAGTGAAATTGAAAACAAACATAATAGAGAAAATCAATGACATCAAAAGCTACCTATTTGAATCAATCAATAAAATTGATAAACGTCCACATTGATTAAGGAGAAAAGAAAAAAAGAAACAAACTACCAATATGAAGAACAAAAGAGGGAATATCACTACAGACTCTTTAGAGATTAAAAGGTTAATAAAAAATACTATGAATAACTCTATGGCCATAAATTTAACAACTTAGATAACATTGATCAATTCCTTGGGAAAAAAGTAAAACAAGCTAACTCACTTAAGTAGAATGAGATACCATAAATAGCCCTGAATCTACTAAATAAATTAAATTTGTATTTAAGACCCTCCAACAAAGCAAAGGAACAGATTATTTTGCTGATTAATGCTACCAAACATTTAAGCAAGAAATAAATCCAATTCTACACTATCTCATCCAGAGAATTTAAGTGAGGGAATTTCCCAACGAATTTTAGAAGGGTATAGTTGCTGTGATACCAAACCCAGAAAAAATAAAATATAAAAAAACAAAACTGTGATCAATATTCTCATAAACATAGATGCAAAATGCTCAACAAAATTTTACCAAATTGAATCCAGCATTGTATCAAAAGATAACATATCACAATTAACTGAGATTTATTCCAGGAATACAAGGCAGTTCAATAATCAAAAACTAAGCAAAGTAATCCATTATATTAACAGATGGGAAGAAAAAACATATAATCAATAAATACAGAAAAAAATTGACAAAATTCAACATCCATTTATGATAAAAATTATCAGCAAACTAACAGTGGAAGAGAACCTCCTTAAGCAAATAAAGGGCATGGTTAAAAAAAAAGTATCACTAACATTACACTTAATGATAAAAACT
The DNA here is from genome assembly GCF_000001405.40 of Homo sapiens. NCBI lineage: Eukaryota > Metazoa > Chordata > Mammalia > Primates > Hominidae > Homo > Homo sapiens. Next base: position 69,857,961 of record NC_000012.12, on the reverse strand, counting down.
AAATGCTTCCCCTCCAAGGTCATGGACAAGGCAAATATGTCTAGTCTCACTATTTCTTTATTCAATACTATACCCAGGTCTTACCTACTTCAGCAAGGCAAGAAAGTATCAAAAGATATACAGTTTGAAAAGAAAGACATACAACTGTCTCAATTTGCAGATGACATGACCTTCAACATAGAATATCCCAAGAAATATATATTTTAAAAAGTTATTAGAACTAATAAATGACTTAATTAAGATTACAAACCCAATATATGAAAATCAATATTTCCATATACTAATGATGAATAATTGGAACTAAAAATTGAAAAAAAACCATGATGTTCAAAGAAGAACATGAAATATTTAGGAAAATATGTGCAGTATTTTTATGTTGAAAACTATAAAACACTGATGAAAGAAATCAAAGAAGCCCTCAATAAATAGATATACCATGTTCATAGATTGGAAGGCTCAATTTTGTTAGAATGTTAAGTCTCCTTAGATAGATCACTAGGTTTAATAAAATTTTAATCAAAATCCCAGAAGAATTGTTTAAATATTGACAAGCTAATTCTAGTGTTTATGTGGGAAGTCAAAGAAACTAGAATAACCAAGACAATATTGAAACAGAAGAAAAATTCAGAGGACTTACACTATATTATTTTAAGGCTTATAATAAAGTGCCTGTGTACAGTAATAAAGATCATGTACAGTAATCAAGATAATGTTGTGTTGGCAAAATGATAGGCACGTAGATCAATGGAAAGGAATGAAGAGTCTAGAAATAGACCCACATATATTTTGTCAATTGATTTTTTACAACTGTGCAAAGGTAATTTAATGAAAGAAAGTTATTTAACAAATGATTCCAGGATAATTGGACATCCACATACAAAGAAACTAATATAAATCTGTATCTCAAGCCTTTTACAAAAAAAAATCAAAATGGATCATAGACCTAAATATAAAACTATAAAACTTTTAAAAGAAAATCTTTGGGAACTTGGATTAGGTAAAGTCTATACTTCTTAGCTATAAACCGTAAGTCATATAAGAAAAATTCAATAAATTGGACATCATCAAAATTAAAACTTTTGCTCTGAGAAAAACACTGTTAAGATTATAAAAACATAAACGACAAACTTGGAGAAAATATTCATGAATAACATATCTAACAAACTTTTTATATCCAGAATATCTAAAAATTTTTCTAAACTTAAAGAAAACAAACTCAATTTTTAAAAATGGGCAAAAGATTTGAATTAACACTTCACCAAAGAAAATGTATAAATGGTGAACTAGTACATGAAATGATGTTCAACATCATTAGTTATTAGAAAAATGCACATTAATACATGGTATGTCATTACAAACCAATTAGAATGGCTATAATAAAAACAATTTTAAACTCATAATACCCAAGAATTGGCAATGAAGAGAAGCAATTGGATATCTCATGCATTGCTAACAACACAAAGTGGTACCACCACTCTAAAAATGTGGATATTTTTACAGTTAAACTTACATTTACAACATGATCCAGCAGTTCTTATCCTAAGTATTTATCATAGAGAAATTTAAACTATTGATCACACAAAAACCCATACATAAATATTTATAGAAGCATGATTTACAATTGCCAAAACTGGAAATAATTCAAATGTCCTTGAACAGATAAATGGCTAAACAAGCTGTTATAATCACTTAAAGGTATCTTTCTCTGTAACAAAGAAGGAATGAAATATTGATCAAAGACATTATGCTAAATGAAAGGAGGCAGACTGAAAGTGTTATATACTGTATGGTTTCATTTATGTCACATTCTGAAATAAATCAAAACCATAGCAACAAAAAACAGACCAGTGGTTACCAGGGGACAGTGTAGATGGTGAGTCTGATCACAAATGAACGGCATAGGGAAATTTTTCAGTGTTGTGTGTTATGATAATGGTAGTGGTTATATTACTATGAACTTGTCAAAACTCAGAAATTTATACAAAAATTTGAACTTCAGTAGATGTAAATTAAAAATAAAAAAGGCCAGAGTGCCTATATTAATACCAGAAAATAAGAGCAGAAATCAATGAAATAGAAAACAAAAAGTAAGAATTTTAACTTTAACCAAAAGCTGGTACTTTGAGAGATTAAAAAAACTGATAAACTTCATGTCAGATTAACCAAGAAAAAAAAAAAGACAAGTTACTGACATCAAGAACAACAAATGAATCATCACTATAGATCCTACAGACATTAAAAGTATAAGTGAATACGAAGAACTTTATGCTGATGAATTTGACAACTTAGTTGAAATGGACAAATTCATTGAAAGACACAAACTGCCTAAGCTGATTACTATCAATAGATAACCTGAATAGCTCCATATCTATTAAATATACTGAATTTGCGGGTGGAGGTGAGGAATGACTGGAATTTCTCACAAAGAAAATTCTGCAGTGGTGATATTTGTCAAAGATCCATAGACATAATAATGTCAACTCTACCCAAGTTATTTTGGAAAACAGAAGAGGAGGGAACACTTCTTAGCTCATTTAATCATTTCATAATATTTTAAACATCAACTAGAGAGCAGTGCTCTCATTACTTACAAGGCCCCCAAATCAAAGTCATTGCCCAGAAATTCCTCCAACAGACTTGTGTCCAGGGCTGGGTTCTCCAGAGTACCATTGGCTCCCTGAGCTGCAAAGGCAAATTGAAAATCTTGAGAAACATGAAGATTTCAGTATGGCCAATGGCTAAAAACACTGACAAATCTTTAAGGTCAGGGACTGTGTCTTTCTTATTGTATCCACAAGGATCAACAGCATGGAAGAGGCACAAAGTAAACATTGATTCAATGGGTGGATGGATGGAAGGATGGATGGCAGTTTTGTTGGTAGGCCAAATTATTTCCAGTTAAGTTCAACAAGAAATTCAATATCTTGTTTCACACTTTCTTTAGACCTGCCAAAAGGTAGCAAAATAGTTCTGTCCTTTTCCTTGTTTACAAAATGAAAATAAATGTACTGGTTTCTTACTGACTATAATAAATATGTTGATATTTTTATAGAATAAAATATAGGGCTGCATACTATAAAAAAGACAAAACTGTTTTTATTTGCAGATAACATGACGCTATACAACTGATAAACAGAAATATTCAGAAAATTAAATAGGGGTTTCGGGTGATGGGTACACTAAAAGCCCAGACTTTATCAGTATGCCATATATGCATGTAAGAAGTCTGTCCTTGTACTCCTAAATATATAAAAATTAAAAACTTAAAAATAAGCTGGCCTGGCATAGTGGCTCACGTGTGTAATCCCAGCACTTTGGGAGGCCAAGGGAGGTGAATCATTTGAGGTCAGGAGTTCAAGACCAGCCTGATCAACATAGTGAAACCCTGTCTCTACTAAGAATACAAAAAAATTAGCCAGACATGGTGGCATGTGCCTGTAGTCCCAGCTACTCAGGAGGCTGAGGCAGGAGAATCCCTTGAACCCAGGAGGCAAAGGTTGCAGTGAGCCGAGATCACACCACTGCACTCCAGCCAGGGTGACAGAGTGAGTCTCCATCTCAAAAACAAAAAAATTAAAAATCCTCTCCCTCTCCCTCTCCCTCTCCCTCTCCCTCCCCCTCCCCCTCCACGGTCTCCCTCTGATGCCCAGCCGAGGCTGGACTGTGCTGCCGCCATCTCGGCTCACTGCAAACTCCCTGCCTGATTCTCCTGCCTCAGCCTGCCGAGTGCCTGAGATTGCAGGCACGCGCCGCCACGCCTGACTGGTTTTTGTATTTTTTGGTGGAGACGGGGTTTCCCGTGTTGGCCGGACTGGTCTCCAGCTCCTGACCGCGAGTGATCTGCCCGCCTCGGCCTCCCGAGGTGCCGGGATTGCAGACGAAGTCTCACTAACTCAGTGCTCAATGTTGCCCAGGCTGGAGTGCAGTGGCGTGATCTCGGCTCACTACAACCTCCACCTCCCAGCCGCCTGCCTTGGCCTCCCAAAGTGCCGAGATTGCAGCCTCTGCCCGGCCGCCACCCCGTCTGGGAAGTGAGGAGCATCTCTGCCTGGCCGCCCATCGTCTGGGATGTGAGGAGCCCCTCTGCCCCACCGCCCAGTCTGGGAAATGAGGAGCGCCTCTTCCCGGCCGCGATCCCGTCTGGGAAGTGAGGAGCGTCTCTGCCTGGCCAACCATCGTCTGGGATGTGAGGAGCCCCTCTGCCCCGCCGCCCAGTCTGGGAAGTGAGGAGCGCCTCTTCCCGGCTGCCTCCCCGTCTGGGAAGTGAGGATCGTCTCTGCCCGGCCGCCCATCGTCTGGGATGTGAGGAGCCCCTCTGCCCAGCCGCCCAGTCTGGGAAGTGAGGAGCGCCTCTTCCCAGCCGCCATCCCGTCTGGGAAGTGAGGAGCGTCTCTGCCTGGCCGCCCGTCGTCTGAGATGTGGGGAGCGCCTCTGCCCCGCCGCCCCGTCTGGGATGTGAGGCGCGCCTCTGCCTGGCCGCGACTCCGTCTGGGAACTGAGGAGTGTCTCTGCCCGACCACCACCCCGTCTGGGAGGTGAGGAGCGTCTCTGCCCGGCCGCCCCGTCTGAGAAGTGAGGAGCCCCTCCGCCCGGCAGCCGCTTCATCTGGGAAGTGAGGAGCCCCTCCGCCCAGCAGCCACCCCGTCCGGGAAGTGAGGAGCGTCTCTGCCCGGCAGCCGCCCTGTCCAGGAGATGGGGGGCAGCCCCTGCCCGGCCAGCCGCCCCGTCCGGGAGGGAGGTAGGGGGCAGCCCCTGCCCGGCAGCTGCCCCGTCCGGGAGATGGGGGGCGCCTCTGCCTAGCCGCCCCGTCTGGGAAGTGAGGAGCCCCTCTGCCCAGCCGCCACCCCGTCTGGGAGGTGTACCCAACAGCTCATTGAGAACGGGCCATGATGACGATGGTGGTTTTGTCGAACAGAAAAAGGGGGAAATGTGGGGAAAAGAAAGAGAAATCAGATGTTACGGTGTCTGTGTAGAAAGAAGTAGACGTAGGAGACTCCATTTTGTTCTGTACTAAGAAAAATTCTTCTGCCTTGGGATGCTGTTAATCTATAACCTTACCCCCAACCCCGTGCTCTCTGAAACATGTGCTGTGTCAACTCAGGGTTAAATGGATTAAGGGCGGTGCAAGATGTGCTTTGTTAAACAGATGCTTGAAGGCAGCACGCTCGTTAAGAGTCATCACCACTCCCTAATCTCAAGTACCCAGGGACACAAACACTGCGGAAGGCGGCAGGGTCCTCTGCCTAGGAAAACCAGAGACCCTTGTTCACATGTTTATCTGCTGACCTTCCCTCCACTATTGTCCTATGACCCTGCCAAATCCCCCTCTGTGAGAAACACCCAAGAATGATCAATAAATACTAAAAAAAAAAAAAAAAAAAATTAAAAATTAAAAATAAACAGCCTGCCTGCAAGCCTTTGAGCTATTTAAAATAGCTCAAAATTTATTTATTTAAAATAAATAAATAAATAGGTAGTTGGTTAAAATTAAATATGAAAACTAATTGCTGTATATAAAGAAATAAGAACCATTCAATCATGCAGATACATATACTAGGAAAAAAGATTTTATTCAAAATAACCAAAATAACAAAAAGCATAAGATATCTAAATATATATTTAGAGACAATGTTTCACTAAAAACTCTATGAAAGGCCTTAAGAAAAGATTTGAATAAATGAAGAGACCTACATTGTTCTTAGGCTGAAAGACAACATTGCAAAAACCTTACTACACATTATTTAGGATGCCTGCCAACCCCACATATTTGTTTTCTGAGAATTTCCCCTTATAAAGATAGTCTCCTGCAGCCATAATTGTAATACATAACCTCTACAGGCATCTGAATCAGGGAAAACCAATCCATTGGTTGGACAGTGACCAATTCAACTATTTCTCCCAAGAATTTGAACTCGTGGACTTTAAAGCTAGTAGTTCAGATTAAGTCATACAATAGCTAAGGCAGAGGACTAGAGCGATAGTCTAAATATTTCTGATCCTAGCTGGGTACCACAGCTCATGCCTGTAATCCCAGCATTTTGGGAGGCCAAGGCAGGTGGATTGTTTGAACTCAGGAGTTGGAGACCAGCCTGGGCAACGTAGCGAAACCCCATGTCTACAAAAAACTCCCCCAAAGATGAGCCAAGATGGTGGTGTGTGTCTGTAGTCCCAGATTCTCAGGAGGCTAAGGTGGGTGGTTCTTCTGAGCCCGGGAGGTTGAGGCTACAGTGAGCCATGATCGCACCACTGCACTTCAGCCTAGGCAACAAAGCTAGACCTTGTCTCAAAATAAAATATTATGTAAGTGATATTATGTCCTTCTCAGTGCCTTACATCAGAAGGATAATAATGTTCTGTTATGACTGATGTTAATGTTGATTCCTTGGTTAAAGTACTGTCTGCCAGCTTTCCTCACTGTAAAAGCTCTCCTTTTATAATTTGTGGGGAGATACTTTGAGATTTTGCATACATACTGTTTCTCATCAAATTTTTACCCAATAGTTTTAGCATGTTTTGATGTTCATAAGTATTTTAATACAAAAAATGAAAAACAAACTGAAATATGTTCTGTTTTGGTTTAAGCCTCGGTATTCAGCAAAAATTATTTCTTTCAACTTTGATTTTAGAAATAAAGGGTGCATGTGCAAGTTTGTTCCATAAGTATATTGCATGATGCTGAGATTTAAAGTATAGATCCCATCATCCAGGTAATAAGCATTTATAGACAATTTTTTCCAGTCCTGAATCTAATCCAGAATAACATAATGCATTGGGTTATCATGTCTTTTTAGATTTTTCAAAAAGTACAGGCTAGTTGTTTATAGGATGTCCCTCAGTTTTAGTTTGCCTCCTATTATCTTATGGTTAAATTCAAATTGTATATGTTTGACAAGAATATTACATAAGTAAGATCCATTCCATGAAATATTATGCAGCCATTGTAATAAATTTTACAATGTCTCAAGAGAAAAAAGTGGGTTGCAAAATCTTGTATGCGGTGAATTTCTTTCCCAATATAAAGGCAACAGATAGACAATTCCAAAATGAAAAAGTTGAGGGTATAAGACTCCTTTAAGTCCCTCTTGAAAGTAGCTCCTTAACAATAAAATTCAGCCAATCAAGAATGAATCACAAGAAAAAAAACAAAGAATACAGAAACTGAGGTGAAAAACAACCATGGATGAAGAGCGAATTCATGTAAATATAGGATTTAGACTGAAATTCTAAGGGGATTTTGGCTACAGATCAAAATGGAAAAGTAATAAACCCTGACAAAGAAAAAATAATATAATCAACAAAAATTGGAAGGCAGGGAGATGGGAGGTGGGAAGAGATGTAATACTAATTATCTCACCACTCATATCTCAGAATTCGTCTTTACTACCTAAACCTGTACCATTTGGTTAAAAAAACTTCTTCAACTTTTTAGTCATTTTCTAAATCCCCTTTCCTTAATCTTGGAAGAATCCTTTAGAACTGATAGTTTTAACAATAAATAATTACTTTTTTCAGAATTAAAATTCTGTAATTCCTTTAGTTTTCCTTCAAGTTATTTTTATTCTGTTAAATTCAAGTAAAATTAATATTTTATATTAAATTTAATATTTTATTAAAATAGTGCATATAAGATCATTTCTTATAATGATAATTTCTATCCATCTATCTACCTACTGATTGTATTAGTCTGTTTTCATGCTACAGATAAAGACACACCCAAGACTGGGCAATTTACAAAACGAAGAGGTTTATTGGACTTACAATTCCACATAGATAGGGAGGTCTCACAATCATGGTGGAAGGTGAAAGGCACATTTCACATGGTGTCAGACAAGACAAGAGAGCTTGTGCAGGGAAACTCCCATTTTTAAAATCATGAGGTCTCATGAAATTCATTCACTATCACAAGAACAGCACAGGAAAGACCTCCCCCTATGATTCAATCATCTCCCACCAGGTCCCTCCCACAACACGTGGGAATTATGGGAGCTACAAGATGAGATTTGGGTGGGGACACAGAGCCAAACCACATCACCCATCCATCCACCCACATATCCTTCTATCTGTAGATATTCATGGAGAGATGATGAAATAACATCCCACCACCATTAACACTGGTTAGATTATAGGATTGAGGGCAATTGATCATTATTTTCAAGTCCTAATTTTAAACTTTGGAAAAATATTTTATACAACTTTGGGTAAAATGATTTTCTAAAACAATTAAAAAATCAAATTGCCAAAATCAACTCAAAAATAAAGAGAAAGTCTGAAATGACAAATAGCCCTGGAATAAACAGAGAAAAATTTCACCATAACCATCACCCTACCCCTGCATAAACAAGCAAGGTTCCAATGACATCAAGGATCATGCTGTTAAAACTTTAACAATATAACTCTTCTACCATTTTCACAATTGTGAAACAGAGAAAGAATAAAAGTATCCAAAGTATTTTCATGAAGCTAGCATAAAATGAATGCCAAAATCTGATAGAGATGAAATGCATAAAGAAAACCATAGACTAATATAATTTGTGAATGGTATACTCAAATCCTAAATAAAATGCTGTCAAATGAAATTCAACATTAAAAGAAAAATTTATCATCAAGAAACACAAAGATGACTCAATACTAGAATTCATATATCAAAGGTAAAATAGTATTTGACCTTCTTAATGCCAAAAGGCATTCAACATCAATTCCAATGAATACATCCTTAAGATTATATATATTCATATGCACATATATATTATGTTTATGATAGAAAACTAACATCAAATAAGACCCAGTGTTGGCTGGGCGCAATGGCTCGCGCCTGTAATTCCAGCACTTTGGGAGGCTGAGATGGGCAGATCACTTAAGCCCAGGAGTTTGAAACCAGCCTGGCAAACATGGTGAAACCCTGTCTCTACTAAAAATACAAAAATTAGCTGGGTGTGGTGCCATGCACCTGTGGTCCCAGCTACTTGGGAGGCTGAGGCATGAAAATCACTTGAACCCGGGAGGTAGAGGTTGCAGTGAGCCGAGATCACAGCACTGCACTCCAGCCTGGGTGACAGAGCAAGATCTGTCTCAATAATCAATAACAAAAACAAAAACAAATAAGAGCCAGTGTCATGTTTAATGATTTAGAAAATTAGAACTACTGTATTTTCATTAATGTTAGAAATAAAATAAGTATTTTAGTTACCATGTTATTACACAATACACTGCTAAAGGCACTAGCATCCCACTTAATCAAGAAAATGAAGAGAGTTATGAATGTCAGAAAGGTGGAAATAATTTGCATATGACATATATTTTAAACTTATAAAATCAAAGAATACCAACTAAAACTTGTTTAAAATAATAGGCAACTTCAATAAGGAGACCACCACAAAAGTAATGTATAAAAAATAGATTTCTATATTCAAACAACAGCTACTGAGAAAATGTAATGCAGAAAGATCCATTTATAATAGGAATATAATTGTCAGGAATAAAATTAAATCAAAAGAAGAAACTCTAAAATTCTGATAGAATGAAGAGAAGATGAATAAATTAAGAGCATATTTTGTTTGGATAAAAAAGGCAATAGTATAAAGATGTAAATACTCCTAAATTAATTTATAAATTTAATATATCTACAATCAAAAATTTCTTAAGGAAACAAACTGATTCTAAAGTTTATCTCAAAGAATGCTAATGTGAAAATACCCATGATAATAAAAAACATGTGAGTAAAAAAGGGATATTTACCAACAAGATGTACAAAAGTAATATAAATATTGTGTTGCAACAATAAACAGACCAATATTTTGAACATAATAAAGTCCAGAAATAAACCCAAACATACTTATGAGAATTTAGTTTGTGATAGATGTATCATTTTATGTCCATGAAAAAAAGCTATGTTCTATACTAGAGTCTCACCTCTACACCAAAATGAATTCCTAGATGTATGGAGGATTTAGATAAACCATAATATTACTAGAAGAAAACAGGCACATATGTCTGATGTCTGTATATTTTGGAAAGAGAAAAAGACTCTTAAACCATAATAAGAATACCAAAAAATATACAGAAAAAAAGTCTATAAATTTGACTACATAAAAATTGATTTTTTCAGACTACATGAAAAGCAAGGTTGAAAGCAAATGCTGCTTCTAAGGTTTTGGACTAATAATTCTCAAATCAAAGCTTCTTAATGATTGCCTATATCTTACTAGAAAAGGTTCATGAGGGCAAAAATCATAGTTGTCTTATTCATCACTGTAACCTCATAGTACTAAAGCTTTTTTCTTTTTCTTTTTTTAAAGAGAGAGAGAGAAGTCATTTGAAGAGCGAGGTAAATATTTTCTAGGACTCCAGAGCCAGCTAATGAGGAAGTATATGTGTCTGGATAACAAATGCATAGAAAAGCCACAGAGATGGAATCCAAAATGTTAATGGTGATTATCTTCAGTGATAGTGCTTTGTTTTGTTTTCTCTTCTTTATACTTGTTTTATTCTTTAAATGTATTACTTTTGTAATCATAAAGTTATAAAAGAAGTTCATCTCTGAGTAAGAATAAAATGAACTTTTTCTTTGAAAAAAACAATATTTGTTGAATGAATGAATGAATGTCTTCACTAGCAAGGACTGGATTGACAATCCTTAGTAAAGAGGTGGCATAATTGGGGCATATGCTCTCTGTTCTATATGCCCTCCTTCACCCCATCCTTTCTGCAGTTTCTGAGCAGAAGAATACATTAGCACCCAACAACAAAAGGGCCTTGAAATGTGAGTTTCCTTCAGAGCCCTCTGACTAAGCCTTTGTCTTACTGCAGCAGTTTGAGTGGCACAAGAACCTCCCACCCCACCAGACAATTACCAAAGAACTGTAGCTCCTGATTGCCACTAGTTATGAACTCAAACAAATTTACAAGAAAAAAACAAACAACCCCATCAAAAAGTGGGCAAAGGATATGAACAGACACTTCTCAAAAGAAGACATTTATGCAGCCAAAAAACACATGAAAAAATGCTCATCATCACTGGCCATCAGAGAAATGCAAATCAAAACCACAATGAGATACCATCTCACACCAGTTAGAATGGTGATCATTAAAAAGTCAGGAAACAACAGGTGCTGGAGAGGATGTGGAGAAATAGGAACACTTTTACACTGTTGGTGGGACTGTAAACTAGTTCAACCCTTGTGGAAGTCAGTGTGGCGATTCCTCAGGGATCTAGAACTAGAAATACCATTTGACCCAGCCATCCCATTACTGGGTATATACCCAAAGGACCATAAATCATGCTGCTATAAAGACACATGGACACGTATGTTTATTGCGGCACTATTCGCAATAGCAAAGACTTGGAACCAACCCAAATGTCCAACAATGATAGACTGGATTAAGAAAATGTGGCACATATACACCATGGAATACTATGCAGCCATAAAAAAATGATGAGTTCATGTCCTTTGTAGGGACATGGATGAAATTGGAAATCATCATTCTCAGTGAACTATCGCAAGAACAAAAAACCAAACACTGCATACTGCATATTCTCACTCATAGGTGGGAATTGAACAATGAGAACACACGGACACAGGAAGGGGAACATCACACTCTGGGGACTATTGTGGGGTGGGGTGAGGGGGGAGGGATAGCTTTAGGAGATATACCTAATGCTAAATGACGAGTTAATGGGTGCAGCACACCAGCATGGCACATGTATACCTATGTAACTAACCTGCACATTGTGCACATGTACCCTAAAACTTAAAGTATAATAATAATAAACAAACAAACAAACAAAAAAGAATGAGACATACAAAAGTATCTAGTACTGTGGCAGTCATAAAAAAAAAAAAAAAAAAAAAAAAAAAGATAGTCAATAGCCAATATCTAAAAGCCAGCATCCAAGGGTTAAACTAAGGCAAGGAGTTTATTTGTGCTGAATGCAGAGGAGAGCCAGTTTTGCTGGAGTCAACTGTTCTCTAAGCTGCCACGGATAAACAAATGCACTCAATCCCATCATTTAGAAGGGTGTCAAGAGCACTGCATGATGCAGGTATTATCTTTGGCAACTCCCAATCTCCATTCTGTGAGGTATACTTTGTTCCGTGCTTTGCTTTGCTAGAGGATTATAATATTCACATCTGTAGAACCTGAAATAACAAGGTTTTTTTTTTTTTTTTTTCGCTTTTCCCAACAGTGGAAAGTCATAAAGTTTTTCTTTCATCTTATTAAAATCTGAAATAGATGACAGATAATTGAATGAGTTCTTAATAAATTTTGTGGGTTTTTTCCAGGTACAGTTTAAATACATAATAGTTCTGCTTTCTATCCCTCACTCCAATACCCCTCAAGTTTTATGCTGGCTTCATAAAAAGAATTTGGAGGCTTTTCTTCTTTCTCTACATTTTAGAATTGTGAAAATAGTGGAGGAGACATCACCAACTCAATTTGTTGACATGAGCTAAGATGAAAATGAGTGGAATATATCCCACATGCCTCCTGGATTCACAGGAGTGATTCCTAGAGATTTAGATGGTCAGAAATGACCTCATAGTGGAGTTGAGTCTTCAGTTAGACTTTGAAGAAAGGCTAGGATGGACAAGACATCTTCATTCTTTCATAGATTCAACCACAATTTACTAAGGACCTACCATGTGCCAAGCATTGCACAAAGTTCTGGGGACCCAGCTGTGAAAAAGAAGACAAGAACCCCTTAGAGGGCTTGCATTCTAAGGGAGGGAAAGGAGGTGACATTGGGGGTAGGTTGGGACACATATAACATATAAAAAATAACAAATAAAAGGATATTTTCAGAGTGTGAGGAAAACAAAACAGGCTGGTATAACAGACTGTGATGGAGGGAACACTTTTCTATGCGGATGCCTCTCTCAGGAGGGAGCCAGCCATGCAGGGATCAAGGGCAGAGCGTGCCAGGTGGAGAAAAAATGGCAGTAGCAAGAAACAAATCATCCAATGGGTTAGAGCACAGGAGCATGGGTGTAGGACAGGAGGGCAGAGCAATAGGAAGCCTTTGGAGAGTGACATCATATACTTTATGTTTTCGAGGGTCATTCTGGTTGCTTGTGGGAAGATTATAAGGGGACGAGAAGAGAAGGAGATCAATTTAAATACTTCTGCAGTTACCCAGGGATGCTCAGAGTTTGAATTTCTCACTCTGAGCCAAGCAAAAGAACAAGCACTTTGCTTATGTGATCTTATTTAATCTTCCTAACAGCCCTAGGAGGTGTCCATCAATACTACTCCCAGTTTACAGATAAGGCCAAGTGATTACACAGGTTAACCAGCTTGCCCAGAGTCACACAGCTTGTAAGTGACACACAGGGAAGCCAACCCAGGCTACTGATCGTGCTCTCACGACCGCCCCGTGCCCCGCCGCCTCCCCAGCAATGCCAGCCAACTGCAGGGAGGATTGACTTGCTTCTACTGCTTCACTGGGCTTAGGGCAAGCCGACTGCTAACAGAAGCAGATGGAGGGAAGAATCTGTTTAGATTTCCTCTGAAGCCCCTGCTGGTGTCCCATCTGCTTTATATGGCACCCTTCACTCTCCCCTCCACACCCGCCACACAATTCCCCAGGTAGAAATAGGAGGTGGCCTATAGATTCTAAGACCTGACTCCTGTGTCACCTGCTTTAGATCACCCACCGGCCCCAACCTGCTCCCCCAGGTAGAAATAGGAGATGGGCCACAGCTCTAGGACCTGCCTGATGTGGCTTGCCCAAACGCCTTAATGAATAAGGAGAGATGATCCCTGCAGTAACTGGCTTCCTCTTGGACTCCAAAATCCTATCTGTGTTTTCCAAATCCAAAGGAAATTACTCAAAAAGATAAATCCACAGTGTCAGATAAAATTGTTTTCAGGAGGTTTTACACACAGAGAACAACTCTCAAATGGCTCCTAAAATAAATCTCATGCTTTTAAAAATAATCGCTTTGCTCTAAATGTTTTTAACACTTGTTTATAACACCCAAGCCTGCCAAGAGGGCACCCTTAAGCATCCTATCCCCCATCAGGGAGGCTCAGTTTGAAATCAGGTTCCACTCTTTACTTCTGTAGCTAGGAAGGGCTGCCACAGTTTTGCTTACAAAGGGAGAAGCTGCGTAGGCCTCCTGGGTGTGTCAGAGAAGCTGTCCCTGCACTGCTTTTGTAAAGCAAAGCTCTTCCTCACCCTCATTCTCTGCCTCCCTTTCCAGGAGCAGCAAGAGCTGTAAGACAGTAACATGTACTGCTGCTCTTGGCCGTAGGAAGACAATAAAAAGGCACTTGGTTATGAAGATGAGTCCATCAGGGAGTACTACAAACACAACCAAGTTGTACCCACAGGACCTACTAAAAAATCTACATATGCCTATGGGGCTTCTCCAAGGGCGTGAGCAGGGAAGGCACAGCAAAGACCTTGCTTTCAGGACTCCCTGCCTTCTCCACTCACCACCTGCCAGTCCTATATAAAGATCTTTTCTTATTTCCATCCAACAGCTTTCTTCATCACTTTCCCCAACAGTGATAAGGCCCTCTTCTTGATTTATTCTTTCACACTTGGTGCACACAGTGACGCCCAGAGAATTCAGACAACTGGCAAGATGACAAAATTTGTTCCAACAACTCTAGTTGTTTAAAGGATTTTAAAAATAATAATGAGGGTCTCCCAAAGGGTTGCTTTCTGGATTTAAACATAGTTTCCCTCTGACATGCCAGTGTTCATGAAAAACTGGAGCAGAAATGTTAATAGATATTTCGGAGAAGAAGGAAGAGGAGAGGAAGAAAAGAAGATAGAGGAGATAAAGAGAAATAAAATACTCTACTTCTCTCATTTGCTTAGAATACTTTTGCCTTGAAAAATCCATTAAATGTAGTACTGGATCTAAAATCTAATGTTGGTGTGTAGAGACACAACCAGTCCAGAGTTAGAGAAGTAAGGATGACATTTTCTTAGAGATATTACCAATCATTAATTAACTAATTGCTTTATTCATTTACTTACACATTTACTTAGTGTTCATTCTGTGTCCTGAAATAAAATCAGAAACAAGCTCACGGTCCAGTGAGAGGGACAAGAAAATCAGCTATAGCAATGCAAGGTGTTAAGTAATGATGAACGTGTGCTTGGATACTATGGAAGCCTTTTAATTAGGCTGGCCTGGGGTGAGCCAAGGACTTCCTATCAGTGACACCTGAGAGGGCTTTTTAAGGTTAAGTAGGGATTCACTAGGTAAAAGATGATAAACATCCTAGGAACAAAAAAGGCATGTGCAAATAAATTCAAATAATCAACAGCAGGACTCTGGAAACATGCCCATAGTCTGACCACAGCCAGGAGGCAGGTGAAGAACATGGTAGAGACTGAGGGCCACACCATTCCCGGACCCCACTGCCAGCTGTATGTGCTTTTATTTCAATCACCATAGCAATTATGTGTTGTGCATCTCTTTCTCTCTGCTCAACTCTAAGCCTTTCTAGGGCAAAAATTATTTTTTATTATACAAATCCTAAGCATCCAGAACAGGATGTAGAATATTATAGCTATTCAATAAATGTTGACCTTGTTAGGTGAGTAAATAAAGCTGTGAATGAATAAATGTAATTATGAATGGTGGAAAGTGTATTATGATAAGAACTTTATTTTGAAAGTGATAGAGTCATTGAAAATCTTTAAGCAGGGGAGTGATGTGATTAGGTTTATAATTCTGAAAGATCATTTAGCCTGCAGTTGGGAGATTGCACTGAAGCTGGGCAAGACTAGTTTAAAGAGACTAGTCAAGGACATTGCCAGCATAAACTTCCCACATTGCATTTCTTAACACAGTGGACATGTGATATGGGCCAGGCACAGTGCTAAGGGTTAGAGACCCAAACACAAAGAAGCAATAGTAGTTAAGGATTCTGGTTCTATAGTCAGGCTAGGGCTTACATCTTTGCTGAGACTTAGCTGTGTAACCCAGGATAAGTTAGCTAGCCTCTCAGTGTCTTCCTTTATTTACTTTCCTCATTTTCAAAATGAGGCTAATACAAGCATCTACCTCACAGAGGAGTTGTGGGAATTAAATGAGATAATACAAGCAAAGTGCTTAGCATAGGTCCCAGCTCAATAAATTCTACCCCTTGTCATTACCATTAGTTTCTGTGCTCAAGAAGTTTATAGACCAGTAAGAAAAACTGACATAAAAACATATCATAGCAAGATAATGTGACAACAGAGATGCACACAGGGCATTGTGGGGCACTTTAATGACTCAACAGGAGCAAAAAGATGCCAGGAAAAGCTTCTAAGAGCGGGGGTCAACAAGGCTACAACTATCAACAGAAACAGATCCTAGGGCCTTGAATGCTGTGAAAGTCTGACCTGGTGTGGTGTGGTCAGGAAAGTGGAAGAATGTGCAGCAATGTGCTGGAGCCAGGTTGTACAAGCTTGTGCACATCTCTTCCAACTTCATATTTAACATCATGTGAGTAGCTTGAAATCAGCCATAGTGAGAGCATTTACACCATGGAAATGAGCAAATGCTACAAATCAGGGCTGCTTCCCAACTTTCCCTTCCCCTAAAACTAGAGAGTTGCTCATTAAACATTTACCACATCACTGTATGTGGCTAGTATTTGGGAGGATAAGCCATTGAATTTTGTGACTGACTGTAAGAAATCTAGGTGATTCCCCAGTCCCTGTCTTGATGGTCATGCTGGTCACTTGAAATAGCAAATATGAGAGAACTGGATGAGGAGCCGGGGAAGGAGCATGAGTTTATCTGCATGGGGCCATGTACTCTTCTGTACTCTTGGAGATAGAAGTGAGCAGCAGGGCACTGCCCCCAAGAAAAACTCCACCTAACAACCTGGAATCCTGGGAATCTCCCAGTCTCCTTGTGCAGATAGTTTTACACTGACCCAAGAAGAATCTAATCAGTTATTTCAAACGGAAGTAACGTGACCCATTGTTGGAAATAATAACTGAATTAAAAGACTGTCTCTGGCTGGACTTTCACATGACATGAATCACCTGGAATTTATGTGCCTGATAATTGAGAGATAAAATAAAAATTAACCTTTATTCAACTTGAGTAAATAGTTCAAGCACATTGTGTAACAGGATGGCAACCCCCACGTGGGTTTTCTAAAACTGTCACAGATGCAAAAATTTGGCAAGGATTATTAAAAACTTGGCTGCTGGACTCTAAGAACAGCAGAAAACATCCAGAAACCTGCATGTGTCTACCAAGAACTAGCCATGCAAATGGGCTTCATTGCCTTTCCTGTTCAGCTGCCTGACCGGCAGATTAGGAGACTCTCGGAGGAAATGTATATCTTTATTTCAACTAGACGCTAAATGAACTTATTCATTCAAAATTATTGCATATGTAATGAAGAGCAGTGTGCTAGGCACAAGGATACAACAGTGAGCAGCACTAAGGCAGGAGAGGGGAGCACAGGGAAGTCAACAGGCAGGAACACTGCAGCGGGATGTCAGACCCAAGCAGACATTTGGAAGGAGCTTTTGATACAACTTGGGGAGTAGAGAGGAGAGGTCAAAAATGGCTGTATTTATAGCTAAGATGGAGAAATGTAGAGGAAATTATGCTAGAATCAGGTGAATTTGTACCTGGGAGAATAACTGTCCCCCAGAGAGCTAACCTGAAGAAAATCCTAAAATTCAGCATGAAATTAATTACCTGCTCGCATCCTTCTCAATAATGTTATTTGTAATTCGGAAAAATATAGAGAAGGCAAACTGGACATACATTCAGACAGCCTGAAGGCAGTGGGCAAGGTACAATATAGTAGAAAGCGTCAGACTCTAATCGTGACTGATTGCATTCATAGCTGACTTTGGCAGGATGAGATTTAGTAGGTTAAGCATACATGTTTGCATCGGTTTTTCTAATTATGTAAATATAATATGGGGAAATTTGGCTTATGAATGAATAGATGACAAAGACATGGGTCTTTTAGTTTTGTCATAGGTTTTGAAAAGACAAGGAAACTAATGTAGAGTATAATAATAAAAGTATTGAGTACAGAACTAGGATAGTGCAATTCCTGTTCCTCTATGCATAGGTCAGATCTTGAGGATGTGGGACCCAGGTTTTAAAAGGAATGCTAACAAATAGTAGGGGATCCACAGGAGATCCAGTAAGGAGCAAAAGAATCATGAGCTAAGCCATTTGAGAGACAGTCAATGGAGAAGATTGATAATACTTGGTAAGTTTAGTGAACTCTTATTATGTACCAATACTATGCTAAGAATTTTACATTTACTTTCTCATTTAATACTCAAAACAATTTTATTCTATGAGATAGGTACTATTATTATCCCTATCTTTCAGAGAAGTTGTCTTAGCGAGCTTAAGTATTGCTCAAGTTCAGTAACACAAGTGTCATTGCAGGGGCTCAGGTGTTTTCTACTATAACATAATGTACGTGTTCCTGAACAACTTTGCTTTTTGCAGAATTGTAAAAAATAGCAGAAGAATGTAGAGTTGAAGAAAAACATTAAAAGTTAATAAAAACAATGACATGTCTAATACAAATTTAAGACATGTTAAATTATTATTAATATTGCTAAGTACTTCAGCAAATATTAGCATTTAGTCTTCATTTGGAAATAGTAGAAGGGGTTGCAAAGAAGAGTTGCAGTGCTGAATTATGAAGACCAAGGGAAAAGAGAGGGGGAAATTGAGATGATGATAACTAGTTTAAATGAATTACAATTCATCTGATAAAGCTGAGTCAGAACCTGTTCTTTCTGGGTTCAAGGACTCTCCTCCTCTATCTGAACTAATTTGGCTTCCGTTTGCAGGAAAGAAGGTGGGTGTGCCTGCTGATGGGGTCAGTCATATATAACTTTAAAATATTATGGATCTACGTTCCTTTAGCATTACGGTTACTAAAATGCCAGATGAATCCATCCTTCATTGCTTTTTCACAAACTTAGGAATCACTCAGGGTAAAGAATAAATGACTGCTGGTTGGCTCGATGTCTTTAGAGAGCTGCACTTGTGGCTTTGCACAGCTTCTCAGTGAATAATCTAAAAATTTTAATGGGATTCAAACTAAGAAGGGAAAGTGACTAGTTCATTGCATCATGTAACCTCTATCATGGTAAAAGTATTTCAGGGTCTTTACTAGTACATTATCAAGTTCACACTTCTCCTTTTAAATTAGTGATTTGAAATATAAATTAAGCATGATCCTCTGGCCTTTCTGGAAGTCTGGGAATCAATTTTTCCAGCAGTTTGAGAAACTTTACAGCTAAGCCTTCTTCCAGTCCTACAATGTGAGGATTAAACTTTTATGTTACATACATTTTTTCTTCGACAACACACATTAATGTTAATATACAGAAGAATAAATAAAACAACCAAAAAGAAATAAAACACAATTGACTACATGTTAAGCAACATTAACTTTAGCCATAGAAGGTAAATTTGGGAAAGAGAAGCTGACAATTTCTTTTAAATGACAGGAACATGTCTCATAGAAGTGAATAATCTCATTGATTTTATAACCAAAGTTTGGAAGAATTATTATTCTGGTTTGGCCTATTAGAAAGTCTAATTTGCCCAAGGCCAAAAAAGGAGGTGGAAGATGAAGAAGAAAAACAGAGGGGAGAAGAGGAGGAGGCAGAGGAGGAAGGGAAAAAGCCTTTCAAAAGGAAGGACAGCTAAGGAGGAGACACCACCCACAGGCGCTGCAGGTGAGTTGGCTCACCTGGAATGTACAGTGTTAAATATTAAATCAATGTCCCCTGGGCTGACACTGCATGGCACAAGTTCAGCAAGATGTGACAAGAAAACTGCTCATTATGGCTTTCAGGAGTGCCTGTCCTTCCCCAGCAATGCCTTTCTGTCCTCCCGAGTCAGGCAGAAAGGGAAAGGACAGTCAAATAGAGCACTGTCTGAGGGCCTAGTCTTTAGCCAGTTGCAGGATAAAGAAGGAAATCCAGAAGACTTGGAATCCTGGAAAAGGGATTTGAGTTTTTTATTTATTGACTCAACACATACATTTGAGTGACTGCTATGTACCAGTCCCTAGGTGCAGAGGCTACAAGAATGAAGAAGGCATAGTTCCCTCCTTCCAGGTGTCCATAGGAGACAGACACGGAAAAAAGGCATTCATTACATACTTTGAAAGGTGAAGTGCAAAGTACTGTGGAAACACACTGGGAGCCCCTGAGGGAATGACGCCAAAGCCAGAATCTTGAGTGAACCAAGTTAACCAAGTAAACAAGGCAGGGAAGTGTGCTCCAGAAGGAGGAAGCCCCATGTGACCCAGAGGTAAGAAGAGCATGAGACTTAGAAAACTGCAAGTCAGGCAGGCCTGGGTTAAATTCTACTTTTGCTTAACTTCTCTGGGCCTACTTCCTCATCTGGATGAAGGAGATGGGTTTTACCACCTTACAGAGTGGCTTGCAGATGAAATGTGATAACATATATGAATCTACTACTGGTTCATGGCACACAGTAAGTGTGCATCCCTTTCCAATTCCTCTCCACTCCCCCGGAGACAGGGCTCAGAACAATGAACCAATTGTTGAACTCATGACAGATCAGTTACATCCAAGCAGGGGGTTAGGCAAAGTCCGAAAAGATGGAAACTTTGACTCTGTCCTGAAGAGGGAGTTGGGTAGCCAGTGGCCAGTTTGTGAGCAATTATACAATGGCTAGGGGTAAGTGAGTGAGAGGAGGATAGAAGGGAGGCAATTTTCCCAAATACTGACTATATTTATTGGCATCTCGTTCTAGAATACGGAAGCTAATGGGCCAATACCTGTCTTTCCCTGCTCTTCCCTCTGGGTAGGCGGAGTGGTGTGCAGATGAAAAAAGTGTTGGACTTGGAATGAAAACACAGGGTCTTGCCTGAAATTTACCAATCCGATTTTAGGCATATCTGTCAATTTGTTAAGGCTCAATTTTTTTTTTTAAATGTGTGAAGGACCAACAAGTTGATGGAAATGCAAGAGTTTGTAAAATGTCAAACTCTATAAGCAAGCATAACACAAATGGCAGAGTGAGAAAGAAACTTTGAAGTTGGGTTAAGAATGAACTGGCAAAATAAACACACGTTAATATTGGTGGCCGTCTATAGATTTTTGTTTTTTCTAACATTTTCACAAAAAGCCAGCAAAGGGGAGGACAGGTCCTGAGCATTGTTTCACAGACCTGACCTCCTCACCACCAGTAAAGGTTATTTCAGATTCTCACACAGAAACCTGCCTCTCTCAGGGGAAGGAAGCAAATTTTTGTTTGTCTTATCCTTATACGGATAAAAGGAGCTAATGGCAGTTCTTCAAATGCTTCTTAAGGAACAACACTTGAGATGGATGGATAATAGATTTTAAAGTGTCCCTCTTCTGATTGACTGGAATTAGCCTGCTCATGCTAACAGCTAGATCTTACTCTTATATTCACACAGAAAAATCGTTCCAAGGAATATTTACTCTTAGCAGAAGAGCTTTGACTAGCTGTTATCTTGTGGAATTATAATCATTTGTGTCATTTCTGCCTCTTCCTGCACATAGGACTGATGCGGGAGTGCTGGGTAGAGGAGGGTGTGTTCCCTAGTTAGGGCTCCACCTCCATGGACCTAGGTGAGGACAGGCATTTCTGCTGCATTTCCCATGACCACCCTGGCCTGCCACGTCCCCCATCCTGTGCCTATAAAAACCCGAGACCCCAGCAAGGCAGAGACAGAAGCAGCTGGAGGGCAAGAGGAGCACATTGGTGAAGGAACACACAGGCGGCTGGACGTCAAGAGGAATGGACCCACACCGGCATGCCGGCTAGCCCCTGACCGGCAGAAGCACACGGAATTTGGCCAGGGCAATCCGGGCCACTGAGTGGGAAAACCAACTCCCTTCTGGTTCCCCCACCTGCTGCGAGCTACTTCCAGTCAATAAAACCTTGCACTCATTCTCCAAGCCCACGTGTGATCCGATTCTTCCGGTACACCAAGGCAAGAACCCAGGATAAAGAAAGCCCTCTTGTCCTTGCGACAAGGTAGAGGGTCTAGTTGAGGTGGTTAACACAAGCCTATAGACGGCAAAACTAAAAGAGCACACTGTAACACACATCCACTGGGGCTTTAGGAGCTGTAAGCATTCACCTCTAGACACTGCCATGGTGTTGGAGCCCCACAGCCTGCCCGTCTGTATGCTCTCCTAGAGGTTTGAGCAGCAGGGCACTGAAGAAGCGAGCCACTGCCCCTGTCACACACCCTGTGAGGGGGACAAGGGAACCTCTTCCATGTCAGGAACTTTCATGAGACTTATCAATAGATTTGTTTCAAAGCAACAAGCTTCCCTAATCCAACAATGGAAGAAAAAAAGAGGATCATTGTCTTCTCTCTTTCCATCTACGGAATCCACTACATATACAGAACACAGATAGGAACAAGGGCAGTAAAATTCCAAAGATGTCTAATCTGCTTTTGCACTGTTTTAATACAGATGAATAAAAAAATAGCTATGCAAATTAAGAAACTGTTTCCCATGCATGCTTTTATGAGCGGTTAAATATATGAGTTGTACTGGAGTTCTTTATGGGATGTTAAATAGTAATATATCCTTCTGGATTATATGGACTTTCAAACCTTTACTTCTGGTTTTTCATGAACAAAAACAGCAGAAGTAGTTAAAAACTTCTATCCCTTTTAAGGAGGTAGAGAATTTAGTTCAGATCTGAGCCAGCTTCCCCAAACCCTGCCAAGGCATGGCTGAATGACCTACTTGAGGTCAGTGATTAACAAGGTCAGCAGATAGCATTTTTCTGTATGAATTTTATACCACCCCGGCCTTTCCTGAAAGACAGTTGATAGATACAAGAACCGGTTCTTTTAAAATGAGAGCATCACAGAACATAGGTAAACTGAAAAAAGTTATCTCCTTAAAATGAATTTGCAGTCTCTCAACTTCAGAACTTCTTACAGATTTACTATAAAATTAGAACAAAATCCTTCAGACGATCTAAGAACAGGACAATAATAACAATATATTTCTTTCAGCTTTGAGTCTAACCCCAAACAAAGAATGCCAACTAAATCTTGGAAATATATTAAGTTTCACTGTTCTGTGTTTTCTGAAAAATGTAGATTTCAAGACCAACATGGAAAAGCTGAACCTTTTGCAATAAAAGGAAATACTCAGTACTTTGTCCTTTGTTGCTTGGCAACTAAGGGCTATAAATGGATTTTATGATTATAAATTCTCTGGAATTAATGTGAACATGTAAAACTTTTAATAACTCCCTGGAGACAGGAGTGTTTCTTTGAAAAAGAAATGTATGGATCTATGTATGTAGCTGTACTTGTTCTTGTTTCACAATAAATAAAACAAGCAATTTGGTTCCTTCACACTTGCAAATACTATAATAAAAACCACTACCATTTATTCTGTCATTTTAACGTTTTATCATTAATCTTCACAACCGTAAGAGGGTAGGTGTTATTATCCCCATTTGACAGATGGAGAACATTGAAACTTTAAAAGGTCATACAACTAAGATGCAAAGAAACCAGGATTCAAAGCCAAGTGTGCCTGAAACAAGGCATACACCATTAGCCTGCATACCACAGAGATTCCTAGGAAGCATATTTCTCAGCTCTTAATAGTTGAGCTATTGGTAGCTTTAACCCTACGAGAATGACACTAATTCTCAGCATCAAGTCACATGATGCTCTCTTCAGAACACATTACTTCTTATTGCCATATATGACATTTGTTTCTTATATTGTTAATACCAGGGTATCAACCACTGGGGTCCCATCTTGCTGGACTTTTTGTCCTGAGTCAGATTACCCAAAATTACAAGATTAAGAGTTAATATTTATACTGCACTTCTGAGCATAGCCTGCTGCCTAACTTTCCTCTGTATATTTTTGTTATGCACAGAGCAGGACTAAAGAACAGTGATGGTGTTCTGATATCTTTGTACTCTTATTAGTGGACTTACATTATGAGTTTCTGGAGCTGCCTGCTCAATGAACATAAACCATTACCTTTTTACCACTAACACCTCATCTTATTGTGCTAGAGCTGGGATTTTCTAAGGAATAATGGCAGATGGCAGTAAAGTGCCAACTGCTAGCAGTCCGGAATAATTTTACATGCAAATTGTACCGAAAAAAAAAAAAAAAAAAAGCAAGCCCTATCTTCTGCTTCACAGGAGACATGAGTTCTACAACTATCTCTATAGATGTTCCCTGTGACCTGATTAGAAGACAATGTGCACAGTGGATAGGGACACAAGCCTTCAGAGCCAGACAGACTTCTGTCCAAATCTAAGCACTTCACATACCTAATAGCTGTGCTACCTTGGGCAAAGTACATACCTTCTCTGAATCTGTTTCCTCCTCTCTAAAATACTGACAACATTATCATTCATTGTGTTGTGCAAATTAAGAATTAATATAAAGTCTTAGTACAATATCCAACATAAAGTAAAGCATTCATTAAATGGCAGTGGTTTTCCTTCATTAAATGATAGTGGTTTTCTTACTGATCACAGGCTGCTGTCTTCGACCCACTGACTGGACATCCTTCCCCACTGCACGAAATCCTTTTTTCAAGGTCACATACAACCTTCTTTTCCCCAGATTCTATAGGCAATTGTCTTGTATTTCAGAAACATTTGAAACGTTTAACCATATTCTTCTTGAAACACTTTCTTTCCTAGTTTAACAACCACACTCTTCTGGTTTCCCTCCTACCTCACTAAACATTCCTTTACTAGTTACTTTCACTTGGATCCCAAAATGTGATCTGGGACCCTTTTCTCTATCTGTACTCTTCTTGGTGATCTCACTTAGTCTCAGGGGCTTTAAACTGATGACTCTTTAAGCTGATGATTCCCAAATTGACAACAGCAGCTCTAATCCTTCCTTGGGTTTCAAATTCAATAATCCAACTGCCTCCTCATCGCTTCCACTTGGTTGTCTAAAAGAGATCTCAAACGTAAAATGTCCCAAATGAATTCTTAATTACACACACACACACACACACACACACACACACACACACACACAAGCCTGTTCCTCAGTCTTCGACATCTAAGTACATTGTACTACCATCCATGAATTGTTGACACCAACACCTAGGCATCATCCTAAACAGATTCCTCTGTCTTCCTCACACCCACGTCCCACCCATCTGCCCCTGCCTGTTCTCCTGCTTAAAACTCTCCACACTGAGAATAAAAATCCAAACTCTAATGTCATTTTCTACCACCCTCCCCATTGTCACTCACACTTCAAGCGCTTCCACCTCACTGTTCCTTTCCTACCCCTCTCCCAACCACTTCAAGCTCAGTGACGGCACAGTTGCTCTTTTTACCTAAAATGTTCTTCTCCCAGACAGATGCATGACTTGCTTCTGGTCATTCTTCAGGTCTCAGCTTGAATGTCATCCCCTCAGAAACCATTCCTGATTGTCTTAGCTCAAGTAACTCTCTCTTCATCAGACTCTCTGCACCACCATCCGGTTTTATTTTCTTCATAATTAATGACATTTTGAAATCATTGTTTTATTTATCTCCTATCGTCTTCTCCCTTCATCTAGAGAAGAAGCCACTATAAGGCAAGGATTCTGCTAATTCATCACAGAGTCCCTGGCTCTTAGGAGAGCAGCAGGCTCATGAGAGACAGTCAAATATTTTTTGATTGTGTGAAAGTTGATCACACAAATTAGGTCATTCTTGTCATAGCCAACTAAAACAGAGTCATGAGGCCAGGGGGAGAAAGCACTCAGGGCATATAACATTGCTCAAAAAATGTAATTCTCTACAAGCCTGGATGCTGAAACTGCTTGCTATATAAACTTAGACCAGTTTTATATCTAATCGTTGCTGAAACAACCTGCTACAACTTTTAATACTAGTTTTACCCACCACTGTCACTCACCAACCAAAACTTGCCAGCTCCCTAAACTTTAATAGTGCCAATTAATTTCCTCAAAGAACAAGACATAACATTTCTCCTTTCTATAAAACCTCCAGCCTCCTCTTTATTCTTCAAGCATACCAAAGACAACCTAGCCTGCCTGTATGCTCCAAATTGCAATTCTTTCTTCCCAAATAAAACATTAAATTTAGAGATTCATCTCTACATTTTTATTTTGACTTTGACAACTGACTGAATAAACAAGGTAAGGAATAAATGACCTTGCAGCCACTTACTATGTGGATAACCCGCAAGCAAGTTACCTAACCTCTGTCAGCCTCATGTTTCTCATACAAGGATAGAAATCCCCCAGGGCTGCCTTGATGCTAAACGGAGAAAATAATAATTAAGAAACAATGAGAATACTAGGAACTAAAAATTACTGTCTCTCTGTGCCAGGCATAGTGCTTCACAACATTTTGAGATAATAGGGTTATCCCCATTTTACAAGCAAGGAAATTAAGGCCTGCAGAGCCTTATGAACCTATCCATAGTCCCACAGGTAGTCAGTGGCAGAGCTAGGAATCACAGCCAGGATGACTAACTCAGAACCCATGTTCCTAAGGATGATTCTGCACTCAGCACATAGTAAGTGCTTGACAACAGTTATTATGATTATTAGTTAGGTTGTAGATCAGGGGTTGGTAAACTTTTTTTGTAAAGAGCCAGATAATATTTTAGGTTTTGCAGGCCACATGGTCTCTATTGCAACCATTCACCTCTTCGCTCACAGCATCAAAGCAGCCACAGACAATATGTAAAAGAGTATGTTACAGTAAAAGTTTATTTGCAAAAACAGGCTGCAGGCCAGATTTGGCCTGTGGTCCATAATTTACTGACCCCTGTTGATGATGAATAACTAACATTAAGAGATGCTTACTGTATGTTTACTAAAAAGTACAAATTATATAATCCCATTTTTGTTTTAAAAAGCACACAAGATACACACCAAACTGAACACAGTTAGCACTAAATAGTAAAATTACTAGTGATAATGATCTTCTTCTTTTAGGTTATCTATATTATCCACAATTGTCCATGTATTGAATGTTTAGCTTCCAAGACATTGTAGAGTCTTCCAGAAACCAGGTTCTAACTTCAAAGTTGAAAGATGACAATAACAATAACACCAAAGAAGGTGGGGAGTCCTCCACTCAGAAGGGTTTGTTTGGGTGATTTTGTTCCAGGACTCCCCAGAGATGGTGATAAATCTGACAGGTCTCAAAGGTAGCGTGGGCAGGTGACAAAGGTCAGCTCTAATCTCCTTACGGCACACTTCAAATTCTAATTAAATCACCTTCATTTTGGAGATCCCAGAATGAAAGAAGAAAGGTATTTCTTAGAAATGTTCAGATAATTTCATAGAAATGTTCAGATAATCCTAAATTCCTTGCATGACCTGGCTGGTTCTTCCTGTCTTTGGCATGTTCTTGTTCCCAGTCTCCTGGGAAGTCCCTGCTGTTTCTACACAGAATCAGAGGCTGCTGCACAGATGAACAATGAACTCCTGCATCTCTGAAATTATCCCACAGAGATATATATATATATAGATATCTCTATATATCTATATAAATGTATTATCTCTCTCTATATTATCTATAATATATATAGAAACTATATCCATAGAAACCTCCAAAAATAGTATAAACAAGGACAGTATAGGGATCCCATAGAAATAAAAGCTCTTTCAAAAAACAGAAGGTAGAATATATCCATACAGATACATTATCTCTCTATATATTATCTATATATAGATATCTATATCTATGTATATCTGTGGGATAATTTCAAAGATGCTGGGTACAATATAATACCTAAAATTCCACCATTAGAGATTAACCAGACCTATTCCTGGAGGAGGTAATCTTTCTGCTGCTTTTGATCCAGACAGTTTCAATGTTCTATGAAAGCACTTTGAATACAAGACTCTACAGAGGTGTAAGGTGGTGTTAGATCATTTGCCATTTGCTCCTCTGTGCAAGCTTAGGTTTTATTAGGACAGAAGGAAGAGGGCATAGGAAACTGGTTGTCTAAGAGAGTGGGAAAGTTGTGGCCCCAAAGACAGAGAATTGAGAGACTGGCCTGAGGCCAGAGATACTCTTTACCCATAAGACAGACTTGCCCAGTGCCAGCACTGGGCAGGTTCTGTTCTCTACACTGCATTCGGCTTTCAGAGCTTCTGACTCTTCTGTCAGAAATTCAGAAACCAGCTAATCAAAGTTGTTTTCACATTTTAGAGAAATAATATACAGGAACCACTTAAGACATTTATCATTTTATCTCTGCTAATAATGGAATCTGAGGCATTCTATCAACATCTCTGTTCTATTCACCGGACCATTCTGCTACTGGGCAAGTTTTCCCTCTTCATACAGTTGAACTTGCTGGGTGCCCCAGCCCTGGTTAGAATTCAATATCTGCTTGTTGAATGGACTAGTCTTTTGCACTGTTCTTTCATTCATTCACTACATAAATATCAGTAAGTGCCTACTATATGCCAATATCATACAGGCACTTTTTCCAAGCAACGGCTCTCCTCTACACAGCAATTCTGCTTAACCTCCCTGAAGCCCTTCTAGATTAATCCCACCTGAATTAAGCACTTCAGTCACTGCTTGTCTGCTCCAAAGCCTTCAGCATTTCCCCCATTTTCCTGAACATGGGGCACTTCCGTGGTATTCCTATACAGCTTATGGACAGCAGATGTTTCTGCCTTCCCTGCATCCCCACTGCCCTCTTTTGATAATAGCTATCTGGAGAATTTAAATCTTAAGCAGCGAGACAGGGGCAGAAAATGTTCAAAGCTTTTTTGATGGCAGTTTCCTGAACAGACTATTCTTCCTCATAGATCTCAAGAGCTGCCTGGTGGTTACTGTCCTTCCACAGGTTCTAGCAGCTACTCCCACAAACCTCAACAAGTGAGCCAGAGTTTCTGCCAGTTTCCTTCTTGAGCTTTTACTTGTGATCTTAGTATGTAGTTTTTCCCACGGCATACTTTTCCCCACTCTGCTCAATCTGGGCGGGAATCTCCTCTTTGCTTTCAACGCTAAGCCAACAAAGCATTTGAGCACCTACTTCAGGATGAAGAAGATAAATAAATAGCTTCTCAAAAATTTGTTCTTTCGAGATTAAATATAATCAACAATACTGTTTTCAAATCATTTTTAATAAACTATTTTTAAGAGCTTGGAAACAAATAATGAGTCCTCTGATATCAAGATAGTACAAATTAAGAGTCTAAGATTATAGCTATCAAAGATAAATGAAGTAAAGTGAGGAATGGGATTTACTGTACTTCATCTTTTAATTCCTTTTCATCCAGAAGGTTGTTGTAAGAATAAAATGATATGATGTAAAGTAAATAGCACGGCGCTTGGCACATGGTAAATGCTCAACAGATGTTATTAATTTCAAACTTGAGGTGAAATTGACAATGTTTTCAAGTTAACTTAAAACTTTGCAAACGTTAAAGTTTCAAGTTAACTTAAACTTTGCAAACGTTAAAGCATATAGATTTCTAAAGATAAAACCATGACTCTCATAGAAATATAATATGAATGCATGTCACAGATTGTATTTAACTACTTAATTAATGAAGGGACCAGGAAGATGTTACAACCGTTTCAAAGGAGAATTCAAACATCAGATACACACATACACTGTATAGAATGAATTTATAAATAAATGCAAAAATGGCTTTTACTGAAACTATTGATCCCCCAAGAACATATTTCATTTGCATATCTATATATAAAAATCATTTGCACCGATATCAGTTACCTGCAATTTACAGAGTTTTAACATAGCTCTACCACACTGAAAGGGGCAAACCCCATAGAATCCCATAGCCCAGAATGATGTGATTTAGGCACAGATTTCCATGGAAGACACCCAGTAATCCTTTCAATCCATGTCAAAATCTTTTACAATTTTTCTTGACACATGGATCTTAAACAGAAGCATTTTGCTGAATTAAACCTATTCTCCTTTAAGATAAACTCTTCCCTGATTATAACATTATATATTCAAATTATAAAGCACTTAGATAATAAAGTATAAAGAAAATAAAAATCTTCATAATCCTATCACTCCAAGGTAGTTACTATTAATGCTTAAAGTATATTCATATGGTTTTTTCTATGTATTTGTGTGTGCATGAATGGAAATATATTAACTGTTTTCAACCCAGTTTTAATAAACTTTGCTATAGAAAGTTATCTATATATATCTAATTGTGTTTATATATTCCACATTGTAAGTCACTTTTTTGCTTAAGATCATAAACATTTTTCCTTGTCATCATTTTTAATAGCCATAAAATATTCCATTATATGTTAGAACCATAATTAATAAATCCACCACTATTAGAAATTTAGGTTGTAACCAATTTTTAGTTATTATAAATAAAACAATGCACCCGTCTTATGACAACCTTTTTTTTGAAGTGGTACCATTTTGCTGAAAAAACCAAACATCTCACATGGCGTCTGAGTTTCCAGAGGATGTTGCGATCTCTAGAGTGCCTGATTGCGCCTCTTCTGCTTTAGCTCACAAGCCTACCTATTGCATCAGTGGCAGACAGGGATTTGAATTAGAACCAGAATTATCAGCTACCCAGAACAACCACCCTTGTCATTTTCCTGAGACACCATGAAGATTTAGTCACGTTTGGAAGTTTAAAAAAAAAAACTAAGATCATCATGAGCTTTGACAGTCAAGGCCATTTAATTCAAGATAATTTTTAATATAAAAATGTTTATAAGGAAAACATATATTATTTAGGGCTTAGTTTCTTAGAATGAAGAGCCTGAGGAAATGGAGAAAATAGCTTTCAGGTGGGTAACAAATTGTCAAATTTTTTTCTTGATTTTCAAACCCTGAATTTTTTATATATGAGATGGTGTTTGATTAGAAACAGTTAACATATCAATAGGAGCATGACATGAAACAACTGGTTCTTCTCATTAGAATATCAGATTCAAGGAGAGGGTATAGCTCAGAGGTAGAGCACTGGACTGCAGATCAAGAATATCAGCTTCAGTTCAGCTGCCTTCATTTGAAAAGGGTCAAGAGAAAGGAAATTATTAAAATGTAAGAGAAGGCATCCAAAGCCCTACAAGCTACCATTTAAAGAAAGTGGTTGTTGAACCTGACTCAGAGTAGGCGCTCAATATTTGCTGAATAGTAGAGGTAAGAAAAAATTGACAATTAGCTGTGTGATTTTCAGGGGGATGGGACTCACTTAAGCTAGTGCCTTCATTTTAATTTGTGAAGTCTACCACCTTTTCCAACTATTCACAGATAATGTAAGAAAAACACTGAAGACAAATACTTTTATAATAATGATCAGATAATTGTAACAAGCTGTAGAGGGGACTTGTAGAAACTATATCCATAGAAACCTCCAAAAATAGTATAAACAAGGACAGTATAGGGATCCCATAGAAATAAAAGCTCTTTCAAAAAACAGAAGGTAGACCAAATTCGATATTCAGGTCTTCCCTAGCTCTAGAAGGAAATGGAGTAGATTTTTGCATGTATACAATAAATTGCTGGTTTCTCTAAAATAGATGCAATGGTAGATTGAAGCTTGCCACCTGCTGCTCAAACGAAAATTATATATGATATAAAATCAGGCAATAACAGTCTAGCAACACTAGTGTGCCTACCATGTGCCAAGCATGACCCAGGTAGACAATACCAACTTGGCCACTGTCAGAGACAGAACACTCAATGGGATGGATGGTAGGACAAGATAATGTGATAATTCTCTTGGTCTTATGTTTCTTCTTGCCATTTCTGGAAAAACCCAAGCCACAGAAACTACCCCATGGTGTTGATTCCTCCCAATAGTGACATAGAATCTCACTATTTCTTTGGTACGCCCCGTCACTCTTTAGTGTTCAGCATTGTTTACTATTCAGCCCATTCCATTCAACTTTTAAATATATATTATTTGTCAGGCACTTTACAAAGCACAAGAAATACCTAAAGCACTTTTCTCGATGTGCTGCTGACTGATCCCTAGATTCTGTAAATGAGCAGGTCTTCCCTCACTTCTTCTCATACTCCCTCATGCAAAATACCTTACCGTGTAAAAATGATGGTCACGTTTCCCTTCACATGGAATTTGAGCATGGCTATGTAGTTTTTTTAAACATAGGGCATGGGAAAAAATAAAATCTAGTACAGGACAGGGACAAGTAATAACAACATAAATATGCTGACCCCTTGATTCTAACAACCAAACTATAAGATGAAAATCCTGTTTTGTTTAAAATCTCTATCCATACCATTGAATTTTGCTCCCAATGTAGCAAATAAACCCCTACTTTTGATATTAGGAGAGTTACCTAAGTATGATAGCATTTCTTTCAAAACAAAGTTTAAGTGAATACGGAAAAGGTGAAACAGGGATAGTGAGCATTTCTCAGAAGCAGCAAATTCATGCTGGAAATTGGCCTCTTACCTTCAAAGAACTGCTGCAGGGCCTCATTTTCGCCTACCACATCCATGGTACTGTGATCCTAGTACTATTTCCTCATAAAACAACGGTTATCAGACCTCAGGAAATAAGTACTGTCCTTTTGATTCGAAGCCTACGAATGCTCTTGAAAAATCTTCATTTTCTTTTTATTGGAGTGAAGCATATCTTCAGCCATCAAATTGTGCCCAGAAAGATGGTTGAGTTTTCAAATGTGATTATAAAACTGGAAGGATATACAACCATACATTTAAAAAAAATTCATGAAGAGGGAAGAGGTAGCAAATTCATCTGTCTTAATATAAGGAACTGTTTCTACTCTGCTTTTCGTCTTTAAGGACCTTTGTCCTTAGTGACACATGCAATTACATAAATGGGCAATAAATACATAGTCTTATCTCATATTTGTCCTTTTACACCAATATATTTATATCTCCACCTTTATCAACTAGATCCACTTAGCTACCACCAATAAAACATACTTATTTTTTTAACCTAGAAAAAAGGGATAAATCAATATAATTACTTTTATAGATACCTATCATCACAGGTAATTTTAAAAGGCTTGTGATAATGAAAAGTTAGAATTTGTTAAGTATTTCCAAACTTACAGCAAAAACTTAAATTCCTTAATACATACCTGTTCCATTTCCTCTAGAGCTTATTTGCTTCCAAAGCATAAACCATAAAGTATGAGAAGTCTCTCTAACAAGCAACGAAAACTGCATTACCAATTTAATAATTCTTACAGTTGAGTCACTAGTAACTTGATTCACTCCTAAATATAAAACCATACCCGAATAAATGTTTTGTTTTCACTGCTTAGCTATAATTCATTTAACAATAGCCTAAGAAAATACAATTAGGAAATTAAATTATCCTTTCGCCCCTTCCTTTTCTTTTTTCCCAACTATTTGGAAAAAAAATAGTATCATAAAATATCCATATACTCTTCATCTACACTTACCAATTATTGACACTCTCTCATATATATATATATATACACATACATATATATACATATATATATACATATATACATATATATATGAGACAGAGTGGTAGCAGTGGATATGGATATGTGTGTGGATATGGATATGTGTGTGGAAGGATATGGATATATATATATCCATATATAGTTTGTTTATATATATATCCATATAGTTTTTATATATATAGTTTATTTCTAATTTTTATGGATACACAATAGTTGTACATATTTATGGGGTACATATATTTTGATACAAACATACAATGTGTAATGATCAAATCAGGGTAATTGGGGTATCCATCACCTCAAACATTTATCATTTATCATTTATGTTGGGAACATTCCAAATCCACTCCTTTATTGTGAAATATAAATTATTGTTAACTGTATTTACCCTATTGTGCTACCAAACACTAGATCATATTCCTTCTATATATTTTTGCACCCATTACCCAACCCCTCTTTATCCCCTCACCCCCTAACCCCTATTACCCTTCCCAGCCTCTGCTATCCTCCTTTGCATTCACTACCTATAGTGGTAGATTCTGAATGTATATATATATATATATATATCCATACCCTTTGACTGAACCATTTGAAAATAAGTTGGTGACATCTTGACATATCACCCTTAAATAACGCAGTATATGTGTCCCAACAATAAGGACATTTTCACATGTAATTGCAATATCATCATTATACCAAAGAAATGTAATATTATCATCTCATATGTAATTTCTTCCAGTCTCCAAAATATTTTTTATGGCTTTTGATTTCTGATTAAGGATCCAATGGATTTCCATGCACTGCCTTTGGTTATGTCTTTTTAAACTATAGAACAGTCCCCTTGTCATTTTGATTTGTGCTCTTCATGATTTTGACTTTTTTCTATAGTCCAGGCTCATTGCCTTGTAGAATACCCATTTTCCAAATTTGTCTATTGTTTCATTATTAGAATTGTAGGTGACATAATTCCAAACATATTTTACACACATATACTGTTACTTGAAAATGAGCAAACTAAGTTTAGCTTAGAAAAGAAAAGGTTTAGGAGCTTCTTTTGACGGTCACACTGGCTGTCAGATCTATAAGGACAAGTCATCAAGTTGTTTAAAGAAATGAATTTTCAACAATTGTGTGAAGCTATCTGCTGGGTGCAGGAAATAAAAAAATGAATAAATAATAGTCCCTGCCCTCCATAAACTGAAATCTAGGGCATGAGAAAAACACAAGTGACTGTAACTCAGGGCAGACTGATAGCTGGGAAAATGTCTCAAGAGAACAGAGAAAGGACAGTAATTTAATCTGGGAGGATCTGGAAAGGTGCCACAAAGAGCTAGGATGTAGATACACTTAAACAGTGGGTGGGTCTTTTTTTTATTTTTTTAATTAACAAATAATAATTGCCCATATTCATGGGGTACACAATGATATTTCCATACATATAATGTGTAGTGATCAGATCAGGGTAATTAGCATATCCATCATCTCAAACACTTATCATTTCTTTATGTTGGAAACATTCAACAACTTCCTTCCAGCTATTAGCTATTTGAAACTACACATTATTGTTAACTACAGTCATCCTACAGTGGTACAGGATATATTAAACAATAAGTATATTTCTTAAAACATGAGCAATGGCTTGGAAGACAGCACAGGTACAGAGATTGTGTGCCTAGTATGGTGCGAGAGGAGATAGGAAAATAGGCTGAAGAAAGATGGTGGTAGTTTATTTCCAATTTTTATGGATACATAATAGTTGTACATATTTATGGGGTACATATGATATTTTGATACAAACATACAACGTATAATGATCAAATCAGGGTAATTGGGGTATCCATCACCTCAAACATTTATCATTTGTGTTGAGAACATTCCAAATCCACTCCTTTATTGTGAAATATACAATAAATTATTAACTGTATTTACCCTATTGTGCTACCAAACAACAGATCATATTCCTTCTATAGATTTTTACACCCATTACCCAACCCCTTTATCCTCCCACCCCCCAACCCCCATTACCCTTCCCAGCCTCTGCTATCCTGTTGTATTCACTACCTATAGTGGTAGATTCTGAATGTAATTTGATTCCATGCATATTCATTCTAAGTGTATCTATTGACAGTTTCTATCTGCTTGGGTGTGGGGCATGATACAATCCCATTTAACTCAGAGAGATCTCTGTGGCAGAATGTGTTGGCTGGGGCAATATCCAAAGTTTAAGCAGTTTAAGAAGCTACTGCAAAATCCAGGTAGGCTGTAGTAAAGCCTGAAGCACGCGATGTAAAACAAAGCAATGGTTACTGGCTGGATGTAGGGAGCAAGGATGAAGTCAAATGATTTTTTTTAAGGATTTATATGCCTTTAGATAAAATATGAATTAAGATGCCTAAAACATGTAGCCTCTGGCTAACCCTAGACTCCAAGAGAAGCTCCCAGCCAAGTCTCCTGGAGACCACCGGAAATGAGTCATCACACTATAATCCACTGCCAAGTAATGATTCTGGATCCCGTCCACCAATTCACCCACAGACTTCATGTTCTCAGCAGCACAGTGATGTGACAGGAAGCATCATAGAAATGAGATTTCATTTAATGGCCTGAGAAGCTAAGGTTAGAATTGGGGTTCCGAACTGAAATACTTCCAAGGCCCAGCAGATAAGTGAGTAAAGTGGGTCCCTTAGCCTTGGTGTCAGGGAGACAATCCAGGATGGTGGGCCATAGAGCAAACCATGGAGTGCATACCCTGAGCAAGGGTGTAGCCACCCGACAGGTGGAGTCACTCAGCTCCACCCAAGTGTTGTCATTCAAGACTGTGGGCTCAGTGTTGTCGAAACGGCACATTTTAAAAAAGAGCAGCTTGAAATGCAGATTTTAGATTTCCTCATTTTTAAATGCTGGCAATTGTTCAAAAACAAGATGGACAAACAGAAAAATAAACCAAAACACTGTGAAGGACAAATAGCACATTGTGTGAAAACACAATGGAGCCCACAAGATGCAACCCTGGTGCCGAGATCTGCGGAAAGTGAAGAGAATTGAGAAGGAAGTTGCTGGGAGGACTAGAAAATCTCTATTAATCAGAATCCAGAGCACTCCACTGAGAGCACAATCCAGCTGCTGGAAATAGGATTTAAGTGGAAATTCCTCCCTCTCAGTGAATAACAAATATGATGCGTATTTTCCTGATTATGGTCTTTACGTCTTACATTTTCCAACTCTCTTGATATCCCCATTTTGCAGAGTTTCGGTAGAGAATCATTCTCTTGAATAGTAATCTAATCTAGTTGTGATTTGGGTTTGCTTTGGTATTGACATTTCCTAGAGAGCTCCAACAGATACAGATAAAAGCTGAGCTGCTGCGGTTAAATCTGGGGATGTGGTGATGGGGGCCCTGTATCCCTCGAGACTGTCCCTGAGACCTGTAGCTCTAGAATCTAGTCCTCATGACCTCAGACGTTCCTCCAAAAGTAAACTGTGTGTGAACTTGTGCTCCCTTGAGAAGCTGCCTTTAGGAAGGGTTTCAATTCTTTTAATATTTTATCAAGTTTAGTCCTCTTCTACATTTTTTTTTTAAGTTTTGCAAATTTTCATGGAGTTTTTTAAAGCTTTCATTGTTATTTCTCTGTTAACAACTACCACTATGAAAACTTGATTTTCTATTGAGTTTGGGTTTTTTTTTTTTTTTTTCAGACGGAGTTTCACTCTTGTTGCCCAGGCTGGAGTGCAATGGCGTGATGTCAACTCACCACAACCTCTGCCTCCTGGGTTCGAGCGTTTCTCCTGACTCAGCCTCCCAAGTAGCTGGGATTACAGGCATGCGCCATCACACCTGACTAATTTTGTGTTTTTAGTAGAGACAGGGTTTCTCCATGTTGGCCAAGCAGGTCTCGAACTACCAACCTCAGGGGATCCGCCCGCCTCGGCCTCCCAAAGTGCTGGGATTACAGGCATGAGCCATCGCACCTGGCCAGTTTTTTTTTTTTTTTTTTTTTCTAAGTGCAATGGGAAGCCACTCAAAGGGCTTTAAGCAGGGAAGTGACATTATCTGATTTTCGTTTTATAAAGATCCCTGCGGCTGCCGTCAGTGATTGTAGGAGGGCAGGAGTGGATGCAAGGACAGCAGACATTAGTGCAGGAGTTCAGGTGAAAGATGATAATAGCTTGGGCAGAGTGGTAGCAGTGGACATGGAGGGAGGTAGACAGATTTAAGATGTCTCGGAGACAGCTGATGGAATTTGCTGATAACTGGAATGGGAGTGACAATGACAAATAAAGGAACCTAGAATAAGCCCCAGAATTTTGCTTAAGCAACTGAGAGTTCAGCCATGGCAGATCTGTTAAGCACAAAAGTTAAACACAAATACAAATTCATACTGCATTGGACTCTTTTAAGCAGTGTCTTATAGAAAAAACATTTTATCTAGGGAAAAATGCAACAACAAAAACCACTGAAAACAAAAGCCTATGAATAAAAGCAGACCCGTTTTAGACTGGATGCACAAAACAAAAACACACAGGATTCTTGTGGTGGCGATGGGAGTAAGTGAAGACGTAACAGGTTGCAAGTTATTTTAAGGACTAAGACCCAATGTTCAGAAACCAAATCTTGTTCTTCCAGTGTGGATGCTTAGTCAAAGACTGTAAATTGTCTTCAAGCTGAGAGAGACCATGAAGAGAGAGGAGTGGCCACCTAACTAACCTTCCCAGTTTTTGGGAGCCAAACCTAGACCAGAATGTAGGTCTAAGTGACTCCCAATCCAGAGCTGTCTCCATTAGGCCAGGCTCTCACCCCAGCTCCAAACCAACTTCTAAAAACTTGTCCAAGAGTCCTCCTCTTCTTTAGAATTGGTAATCTTGGCAATTAAATTCAGCGTAGAAACACTCTCCTGAACATAATCAGCATGCTGGTTCTTCCTTTTCTGTTGCCTTGCTCTTCCTAACAGCTCCTCCTTTCGTCTTTGCAGGCTGCTTCTCTGTCACAGGAACTCAGGGCTCAGTGCTGTACTTCATCTCCAAAGTGTCCCTAAAGCGCCCATCTGATCCCATGGCTAACTACTCCCCAAATTTTCTCCTGGACTGACCTTACTGAATTTAGATTTGTACATCCAATACCTGCTTAACATATCCACTTTGATGCTCAGTGGGCACCTCACACTTGATCTGTCAAACACTGAATTTCTGTCTCTGTTATGCACATACCCAAACTTTCCCCACCATGTATTTCCCCATCTCAATAAACTGCAATAGCTCAAGCCAAAAGCCTAAGATTCAGACCTGAATTCTTTCCTTTCCTCTCTCTCAAATGCAATTCAACAATTTTCTTACCTTTTATTTTTTGTTTTGGAATGAAGGCACATATAACTGAGCTAGTAATAATGCTTGATTCATAATACACCACCGATGTTCCATGCATAACTCTCTTATTCATTTGTCCATGCATTTATTTTGTTTTTGAATTTTTTTAAAGGGGGGCAAGGTCTACGTTGCCCAGGTTGGAATATAGTAGCTATTCACAGGTGAAATCATAGCACACTATAGCCTTGAACTGGCCTCAAGGATCTTCCTATCTCAGACTCCCAAGTAGCTGGGACTATAAGCACGCACCACTACACCCAGCTCATGTACTTACTTTTAATGACAAATGAACCACCCCAAAACCCACCACCTAACCCAGGGACTAAAACATTACCAGTGACTTACTCATAGATTTGCTCCTCCTCTACCTCTCCAGAGGTAACCACTATCTTGAACTTTATTACTTTTTAAAAGTTTTGTCACATATGTCAATGCCTAAACAGCTGTTCAGTTTTAGTTGTTCTTGACTTTTATAAGAAAAGTATCATGTCACATATAGTTTTCTCAGAATTGCTTTTTCATTCTGAGTTATTGTGCTGCAAGTAGCTGGTATTCATTCATTTTGCTGCCATGTAATAATCACCCATTCTGTGAACACATTACACCTTCCTAAAAATAGACATTTTAATTTATTCCAGAACATTCTTATATGTGTGATCTGGGGGACCTGTGCAAGCATTTCTCAAGTATATACTGAAAAGTGAAATTGCTGACCCATGGGTATACTTTTTTTTTTTTTTTAAGGTATGATCTTACTCTGTCACCCAAGGTAAGAGTGCAGTGGCACAATCATGATTCACTGCAGCCTCAACCTCCTGGGCTTAAGCAATCCTTCCACCTCAGCTTCCCAAGTAGCTGGGACCACAGGCATGCACCACCATGCCCAGCTAATTCAAAAAAATCTTTTTGTGCAGATGTGGTCTCCCTATGTTGCTCAAGCTGGTCTTGAACTCTTGGGCTCAAGTGATCCTCCTACCTTGGCCTCCCAAAGCCAAGAGGCATGAGCCACTGGGCCTGGCCCAACTTTTCTAGTGAATGGTTTTTCACAGTGGATATACCAATTGATACCCCCATCAGCAATATGTGAGTGATCCTAATGACTAAAACCCTCTCCAAAACTTGACTTTGTGTTTCTTCATTTTCACCAATCGAATGAATTTGAACATGTCATTGTCATCTTGATTTACGTTTTCCTGATTGAGAGATGAAAACCTCTTAATGTTTATTGGCCCACATGCACTTCTAATTGTGTGGAAGGCCTGGTTCAGTCTTTTGCCTGTTTTTCTGTGACACTGTCCTTTTTTGTTGGTTTGTAGAATTTCTGCATACATTCTTGATACTAAGCTATTACTAGTTATAAATGTTGCAGATATTGCCTCACAGTTTGTAGTTTAGCTTTAGTTTTTTTTTTAGAGACAAGGTCTCCCTATGTTGCCCAAGTTGGACTTGAACCCCTGGGCTCAAGCAATCCTCCCACCTCATCCTCCCAAGTTCATGGACACAGTGTGTGTGTGTGTGTGTGTGTGTGTGTGTGTGTAAATGGAGTTTCCCTATTTTTCCCAGGCCCGTCTCAAACTCCTGGGCTCAAGCAGCTCAAGTAATCCTTCTGCCTCTGCCTCCCAAAGTGCTGGGATTACAGGCATGAGCCACAATGCCTAACTACTGATGCACGATTTCTAAATTAAGAATTTATAATATACCATAACTTATATTCTTTTATGGTTATCTTTTATGGTTTTTTTTTTTCCTGCTTCCAGTTTAAGAAGTTCTTCCTAAAGGGAGTAGGATCAGGAAGATAATCACATTTTCTAAATATGTTTCAATCACATTTTAATCTATAATTCCACATATAGTTTCTACATCAAGTCGTCATCCTGTTGCATTAATTTTAAAGAGCATGCTTCTAGTGTATAAGGTTGAAAAGCATTCTTCCCCTTATAGATTACTAAAGATTTATTATTAATGGGTATACTGATTTTCTTTAGTCTTACTTTTTATTTATCCTTTTTAAGTCATCAACAAACTTTTTCTGAGTATTTGATTACCTTTCTTTCAAACCGTACAGTATCTCCTGGATTTGTTTCTCTTTTTATTTAGGTACTTTCTCCAAAAGTGATTTTAGTTTGTACGGAAAATCTTCTGAAGCTTTGATGGTACATATTCTTATTAATGCCCTCACATTAGAATAACTATTTTCAGAACATAAAATTGTAGGTTCAAAGTTTTTTTCAGGTTCAATTTCACATTCTTGAGCTAGGCATGGTACTGATGGTTTTCACCATAACATACACCAATGTCCTTTTGTCTGTGGGCTCCCATCCAGCCTGGTGGCTGAAGTCATCTACAGGTAAGATTGACCAAACCTCTGAACAGGACTGAAAAAAATGTTATCTTCAGAAAACCAGCCCTCTTGTACACTGCTGCTGTGAATACAAATTGATTAACTTTTCTGGATGGCAATCTAGCAATGCAGATCAAACATTTAAAAATACATATATATCTCGACACAATTTTATCTCCAGGCATCCACATGAAAGAACTCCACAATGTTCAGAAGTGTACAGATAAGGATACTCGTCACAGCATTATAATATGAAAAATAAACTGAAAACCACCTCATCTCCAAACACAATTAAATTATGTTAAAATTCTATAAACAGGGATTAGGATGTGTAGGTTTACCCAAGGGAAAATATATTTAATGTTTAGGTTTAAAAAGCAAAAAAAAAGCCTACTTTTTGTTTCAAAAATATGCATATGTAAGTAGAAAATATCTGAAAGCTGAAAGGCTACTATCCAAAAATATTAACAGCAGCTTTCTCTAAACAGAAACTAAAGCAGTTTCTCTTTTCTTTTTGCTTTTCTATACTTATTACATGTCTACCACAAACCTCTTTGTTATAATTTCTCCAGTTGAGTCAGTTTTACAATTTGGAATGCAGAGATCAAGTGGTTCTATAATCAGCATATACTTCGCACGTACCATTCATTCAATCCACACCCCTTTAAACCCCTTTGACACACGTCAAACTCATTTACATCTATGTCCCTCCAATGACAATATAGTGGTCAACACATATAAAACATGAATACACTATATCAAGACACTCAGGAATACATCTCTGGGATAAAATCTGACTGCCTTCTATTATATTTTAATGAATAACCAAAATAAAGGGATTCTTTCAGTTACAGAGAGCAGAATAATTAAAATAGTAACTTTCAAACTTTGTAGCAGCAGAAGTATTTCTTCAAATAAAATCTTTTTTGAAACCCAATATAGAAAACAGATAAAAATAAAGCCATTCTAGAGGTGGGGGCCTTGGAAAGTGAGTACTATCCACTCAGACTTCTTTCTTGCCTCTCACAAGGAAGGAAGCTACTGTGTAGTTTGAAAATTACTATTTAATACATTCTGCTAACCCTAAATGCCATGTCAGAGCTAGAAGAGAAAATGTACACACATTCAATCTAACATTTATTTATTTCAGGTTTTTTTTTTTTTTGGCAACTATAAATTACATTCACTAGTACACCTGGAATTCTTCATAGTGTGTTCAACTAAAGAATAAGCAAACACAGCATAGATCAGTTTAAAAGAAATCATGGTACTTCTTAGAGCAATTTGCAAAAGGGGAAAAAAGTCTTAGGCTCACTCCTTGGAAATAAATATCAAGTAACCATAAAAATATTCAGCCATTTTTCAGTTATTCGGGGAGTTCAGGCATGGTCCCACGCAGAGCATCAGAGTTCCTCTTTGAAATAACCCAGCTTTGCCAATGACATCTCTTTTCTCAACTGCATAACCTCCCAAAACATCTGATCAACTATACAAACAGAAAAGAGAGATATTTAAATCATAAAATACCATCTTCATTATTTTTAATGTTTCGCTGAAAACCTTAGCTGAAATGTCAATTGTGCATTTCCTAAAGATGTACCTACATTTTTTCAATAATTCACATAAACTTTTCCACAGACTTGTGACCATCCCAGTTTTATCAATAAAGCAAAAGTCACCAGTTTTGTCACAATTATTTGTTAAATACATCAGAGACTATCATTTTAGCCCAAGAAAAGGTAGACATTCAGCATCCTGAGTAAATGTCAATGCTGTTACCTTCATTAAGTGAATATACTCAATACTCAATTATTCGAGCTATTCTCTAACTTACGAATCTTCTTGCTCTAGTTTGTTATATCGCGGCCATTTTACTCTTCATTAACACTACCAGAGGGTGAAGGGCAAAAAAAGAAAACAAGACAATCCAGAAAACTCAGTAACGTTGTGAGAAGTAACAGAAAGGTTTTGTGTATGGCTCAAATTAGAAATAAAAATGCATGTGGAAGATGAATTGTAAATTCAATTACCTATACTTTTGTAAGTTCCCACTGTAAGTGGAAAAACGTTGGCTCCTTATTTCAGACAATAAAAGGTCTTCGTTTGATATATGATCAGATTATATTCATTTAGATCAATGGTTCTCAATCAGGGAAGATTCCACCACTACCACCACCACCACTCCTCATTCCCTGGCCACTCCAGGGTACGTTTGGCAATGAATAGAAACATTTTTCACTGTCCCATCTCGGGGGTGCTACAGGTATCTAATGAGTAAAAGCTAGGGATGCTATTAAACATCTTACAAATGCACAAGACCGTCCCCCACAACAAAGAATTATCCAGCTCAAAATGTCACTAGTACCAAGGTCGAGAAATTCTGCTTTAGATTTAGCTGCCCTAAATCCTTTGTTGGCACAAGGCACATATAATAAACAGATTTTAAGACTAATACCTGTTTACAACAAACACACATACTAAATGATATGTACTAAATATCATAAAGTGGAAGAGTGACAGAAACCAGAGAAGATATACTACTTTTATTATCAACACCCTCACCATTCATTACTCGTAACACTTTCTTCCTATTTTCATAAAGTAAATTATCTTTCTGTCTTTCCAAGCTTCTTATTTAAACAAACAGAAAAATATTATATTCTTGGCAATTATACTTAACATAAATTTTCTGTTCTCTGGCTTAAATTATATTATCCATCAACAGGTATT
Organism: Homo sapiens; assembly: GCF_000001405.40. Lineage (NCBI taxonomy): Eukaryota > Metazoa > Chordata > Mammalia > Primates > Hominidae > Homo > Homo sapiens. The sequence continues at coordinate 69,814,119 of NC_000012.12, read as the reverse complement.
CAAAAAGAATTCAGTTTTATTAAAGTCAAAAAAAGTATTACACAGTTTAAAGACTGTTTTTATGTTATTAGGCCTTTTGAAATTCAACATTAATTAGGTTATCAGGTTATTAGGTTAACAGGTTTTATCTCTAATGTTTTAGGCATTAAAATCCAACTATATGGGATTTTAAAGAAATATGACATTTTTCAACATACCAGACCTTGAGAAAGGCTAAACTAAGTTTTTATCAGCGTGACTAACTTCTCCATAGAATTAAGATTCACTGCTTTACATGATTGAAAGATGGTAGGCTTCTACCAGTGTTTAAGCAAGATAATATTTTCAGTGCCTAAAAAATATAAACAGGGAAATTTTGTAAAACTTTAAATACTAACTGGCACAGACTTGTCCCTAGCCTAGTATCTGCTATTTTTTTTTTTAAACTATCATTTGTGCTCGAGAGATACTGCTTTGGAGCTGTCAGGCCATATTAGTTTTCATGCCTGATATTTAAGATATTTAGCTATAAAATTGTATTAAAAATATTAACACACTTTCATGAGGTTGGTTCTCCTGGATATATCACCTGCACATTTCTGCTGATTTAGAATATGGCAATCTTTATTCCATTCAGAATTATCCTCATGACTGCTTTATTAATTCACACGCAAAAAGTAGAAAATACAGGGAAAACTTAATTTTGAGCTCCATGATGGTTTCCATCAATTAAAATAAATCTGACCACTTTGCTGGCCTACTCATTTTCATCTCTTAAAGAGTCAATTCAATGAGCTTAGAACTCTCTTCTCATTTACCATCTGGTTTATCATATACCCCTTATGAGTTAAAACTGACCCTGCTTAAAATTCAAAATTAAGAGTAAAATGAGGCAAATAAAATAATTAAACACAATATTTTTCTAAAAGACATTTGTTCCCAAATTCTCCACAAATTTTATTAGAACTATAGAAGGGATTCAATATAAATGTACCAACAATAAAGCTGATATGAGCATTACTACTATTCTATACTTTTTGTTGAACTTTACTTATACTTTTTGCTGAACTTTTATGTAAAGACTTATATTGAATCAAGAACACTCACCATCCTGCTGTTTCACGAGTCCCTGCTGAATGTATCGAATGTATGTAAAAAAGTTACATACAGAAGTGATCTAGGCCAAATGGAGAAAATGTCATGAATGGTCAAATGTCCCATATCAAAGCAAGCTTTATTAAAATTCATGGTTAAGTCACTTACCCTGTATCTGCAAAAAGGAGAAATATAATAATAGTTGCTTGAGTCCCCTAATTTAATTCTGTGTTTACAGGACTTACTCTGGCCAGTGAGAGCACATTTTCTGTGAAATAATGATAAATTTCAGTTTTTTGAAATGAAAAGCATTTGCCCCTACCTTCTGTACAAGTTGCCTATTCATTCAGTTAGATAACAAATATTTGAGAACCTACTGTGTACCAGGCACCGTTCTAGATGCTGGGCTAAAGTGATGAAAAGGACAAAGTCTCTGCCCTTGTGAGACTTACATTCTATTAGTAGTATAAGTTTAATGCCATAACATTAACCATGATTCTAGAAACAGAAACTAGGTGTTTTCCATGTATGTCCCATCTTGGAACAAATTTACAAATCAGTAATCAGCTGCAGGACAGCTCTCAGCTTTCCATCAGGATTTCAGCTTCTCAGCTGAAAATATCCTCATGATGACTGTTCAAGTCTCAAAGCATGTTATTGATAGCTTGCAGGGTAATAGTTTCCAGATGGGGTATTTGTTTATTTGGTTGGTTGGTTGCTCTATATGCATTTAATGTGGGACCTAGGGAGAAGTACAAAGGAATAAGCCACCTTATAAAAATACTGAATCTTAACAATCATGTAACAAGTTCACTGAATTTCACATGATCCTTTCTATTTGCATATGACAAAAGCTAAAATTTTATATGAGGGCTTTCTGGCTGGGATTAGGCTATCAACCTCTTGAGGGCAGGGACTTTGATTCATCTTTAAATGCCTGGCACACAGCACACATTCAATGACTGCTGAATAAGTAATGAGCCATCTGTTACCCTATGGCTCCATGAGATAAAGCTAGCATGTCTATCAGGCCGGACTTGCAGCAGCCCAGCTGTCACCCTAAGCTAGGAACCTGGCTCAATACAACTATCACTCCCCATCAATGCAAAATTAGCATAGCTCTAAGTAAGTGGCAAACAGCATTTTATATGACAGTATAAATTATATAGTAAATATATTAAATAACATTACATTTTAGCGATACAAGAAATATAATACAAAAGTGCCTTTGTATTAAGAAAACACACAACAATGTGTATTTGAAACAGGATAATTTTTGAGGAGGGGGCAATTCAAATCACAAATCAATTCCTGTCTTTTTTCAAATAGATATTTCTTCATTGTTTCTTTATTAGCAAATTCCTTTAATGATCTGTAACAATATTTAAAAGCACTAACTACTAGCTTGGGGAGGATAGAAGATACAGAAATTTAAAGCACAAAGTGTTGGAAGTCTGTGGAACTTCCAAAAGTATAATTTGCATAAGAGGAAAATGTGCCATTAAGCTGCTAAAAACCAATTTATACACTATTCTTCTGGAAACAGACATATGCCTGCTGGTCTACTGTTTAGCCTAATTTTGAAAGGGATCTGGTAAGGTGGCTTTAAGTATCAACTTTTAAAATAATAAGTGTTTCTTTTTTTTAACTTGTAAGTTCAGGAGTACAACTGCAGGGTGTGCAGGTTTATTACATAGGTAAACATGTGTCATGCGGGTTTGTTGTATATATTATTTCATCACCCTGGGTGATTCAGGAAGAATAAGTATCCATTATTCTTCCTGATCTTCTCCCTCTTCCCATCCTCCACCCTTCCACAAGCGGCAGTGTGTGTTGTTCCCTTCTATGTGTCCATGTGTTCTCATCATTTAGCTCCCACTTATAAGGGAGAACAGGCAGCATGTGGTTTTCTGCTCCTACATTAGGTTGCTAAGGATAACGGCCTCCAGCTCCAGCCATGTCCCTGCAAAGGACATGATCTCATTCTTTTTTATGGCTGTATAGTATTCCATGGTGTATAGCGTTTCTTAAAAGATCTCATTTCTAAGCTATTTTGTAAACTGGACACACCTAATGTATTTTTAGTTAAGCCAGGATTCAATGCAAACAGACCTCTGACCTCCAACTCCATTTTTTTCCCAAACATGCTACACTACATTAATAAATCTCTATAACTCTAGTCCCAAGATTTCAAATCCTTGTTTCCCATTTTCATGTGAGGATGTCAATATGTCTAAATCTAGACCGTAATCCTCTTCCACAAATCAAAGCCTTTTCCATTAATTTCCACAATCACTTCAAATCAGTCTTCCAGTCAGATATCTCTAACTCCTTTCTCCTTTACCCATCCCCCCACCCCAATCTAACTTTTCTTTCTTAAAATGTCACATCTTCCCTTTCCTCTCCATACACTGACCATCCTTTGAACGCACTTTGATTTGTTTCTAGGCCTTCAGTTGTTATGTATTGCTCTTTATCCAAATTACCCTTATGCTTCAAAAACCTAAACCAGTTTTTATTTCTGGAGGGTGGAGCCAAGATGGCCGAATAGGAACAGCTCCAGTCTACAGCTCCCAGCGTGAGCCACACAGAAGACGGGTGATTTCTGCATTTCCAGCTAAGCTTTGAAGAGAGCAGTGGTTCTCCCAGCACGCAGCTTGAGATCTGAGAACAGGCAGACTGCCTCCTCAAGTGGCTCCCTGACCCCCGAGTAGCCTAACTGGGAGGCACCCCCCAGTAGGGGCGGACTGACACCTCACACTGCCGGGTACTCCTCTGAGACAAAACTTCCAGAGGAACGATCAGGCAGCAGCATTTGCGGTTCAGCACTATCTGCTGTTCTGCAGCCACCACTGCTGATACCTAGGCAAACAGGGTCCGGAGTGGACCTCCAGTAAACTCCAACAGACCTGCAGCTGAGGGTCCTGACTGTTAGAAGGAAAACTAACAAACAGAAAGGACATCTGCACCAAAAACCCATCTGTACGTCACCATCATCAAAGAACAAAGGTAGATAAAACCACAAAGATGGGGAAAAAACAGAGCAGAAAAACCGGAAACTCTAAAAATCAGAGCGCCTCTCCTCCTCCAAAGGAACGCAGCTCCTCACCAGCAACGGAACAAAGCTGGATGGAGAATGACTTTGACGAGTTGAGAGAGAAAGGCTTCAGAAGATCAAACTCTCTGAGCTAAAGGAGGAAGTTCGAACCAATGGCAAAGAAGTTAAAAACCTTGAAAAAAATTAGACGAATGGATAACTAGAATAACCCATGCAGAGAAGTCCTTAAAGGACCTGATGGAGCTGAAAACCATGGCATGAGAACTACGTGACGAATGCACAAGCCTCAGTAACCGATGCAATCAACTGGAAGAAAGGGTATCAGTGATGGAAGACAAAATGAATGAAATGAAGCGTGAAGAGAAGTTTAGAGAAAAAAGAATAAAAAGAAATGAACAAAGCCTGCAAGAAATATGGGACTATGTGAAAAGACCAAATTTACGTCTGATTGGTGTACCTGAAAGTGACGGGGAGAATGGAACCAAGTTGGAAAACACTCTGCAGGATATTATCCAGGAGAACTTCCCCAATCTAGCAAGGCAGGCCAACATTCAAATTCAGGAAATACAGAGAATGCTACAAAGATACTCCTCGAGCAGAGCAACTCCAAGACACATAATTGTCAGATTCACCAAAGTTGAAATAAAGGAAAAAATGTTAAGGGCAGCCAGAGAGAAAGGTCGGGTTACCCACAAAGGGAAGCCCATCAGACTAACAGCTGATCTCTCGGCAGAAACTCTAGAAGCCAGAAGAGAGTGAGGGCCAATATTCAACATTCTTAAAGAAAATAATTTTCAACCCAGAATTTCATATCCAGCCAAACTAAGCTTCATAAGTGAAGGAGAAATAAAATACTTTACAGACAAGCAAATGCTGAGAGATTTTGTCACCACCAGGCCTGCCCTAAAAGAGCTCCTGAAGGAAGCACTAAACATGGAAAGGAACAACCGGTACCAGCCACTGCAAAAACATGCCAAATTGTAAAGACCATCAAGGCTAGGAAGAAACTGCATCAACTAATGAGCAAAATAACCAGCTAACATCATAATGACAGGATCAAATTCACACATAACAATATTAACCTTAAATGTAAATGGGCTAAATGCTCCAATTAAAAGACACAGACTGGCAAATTGGATAAAGAGTCAAGACCCATCAGTATGCTGTATTCAGGAAACCCATCTCATGTGCAGAAACACACATAGGCTCAAAATAAAGGGATGGAGGAAGATCTACCAAGCAAATGGAAAACAAAAAAAGGCAGGGGTTGTAATCCTAGTCTCGGATAAAACAGACTTTAAACCAACAAAGATCAAAAGAGACAAGACCATTACATAATGGTAAAGGGATCAATTCAACAAGAAGAACTAACTATCCTAAATATATATGCACCCAATACAGGAGCACCCAGATTCATAAAGCAAGTCCTTAGTGACCTACAAAGAGACTTAGACTCCCAAACAATAATAATGGGAGACTTTAACACCCCACTGTCAACAACCCCACTGTGTCAACACAGATCAACGAGACAGAAAGTTAACAAAGATATCCAGGAATTGAACTCAGCTCTGCACCAAGCAGACCTAATAGACATCTACAGAACTCTCCACCCCAAATCAACAGAATATACATTCTTTTCAGCACCACACCACACCTATTCCAAAGTTGACCACATAGTTGGAAGTAAAGCACACCTCAGCAAATGTAAAAGAACAGAAATTATAACAAACTGTCTCTCAGACCACAGTGCAATCAAACTAGAACTCAGGATTAAGAAACTCACTCACAACTGCTCAACTACATGGAAACTGAACTACCTGCTCCTGAATGACTACTGGGTACATAACAAAATGAAGGCAGAAATAAAGATGTTCTTTGAAACCAACGAGAACAAAGACACAACATACCAGAATCTCTGGGACGCATTCAAAGCAGTGTGTAGAGGGAAATTTATAGCACTAAATGCCCACAAGAGAAAGCAGGAAAGATCTAAAATTGACACCCTAACATCACAATTGAAAGAACTAGAGATCTGCCTGGCCAACCCGTCTGGGAGGTGAGGAGCGCCTCCGCCCGGCCGCCCCATCTGGGAGGTGAGGAGCGTCTCCGCCCGGCCGCCCCGTCTGGGAGGTGAGGAGCGCCTCCGCACGGCCGCCCCGTCTGGGAGGTGAGGAGCGCCTCTGCCTGGCTGCCCATCATCTGGGAGGTGAGGAGCGCCTCTGCCCAGCCGCCCCATCTGGGAAGTGAGCACCTCTGCCCGGCCGCCCCATCTAGGAAGTGAGGAGCGCCTCTGCCCGGCCGCCCATCGTCTGGGATGTGAGGAGCACCTCTGCCCGGCCACCCTTCGTCTGGGAGGTAAGGAGCGCCTCTGCCCGGCCGCCCCATCTAGGAAGCGAGCGCCTCTGTCCGGCCGCCCTGTCTGAGAGGTGAGGAGCGTCTCTGCCCAGCCACCCTGTCTGGGAGGTGAGGAGTGCCTCTGCCCGGCCGCCCGTCGTCTGGGAAGTGAGGAGCGCCTCTGCCCAGCCGTCCTGTCTGGGATGTGAGGAGCGCCTCCGCCCGGCCGCCCCGTCTGGGAGGTGAGGGGCGCCTCTTCCCGGCCGCCCCGTCAGGGAGGTGGGAAGCGCCTCTGCCCTGCCGCCCTGTCTGGGAGGTGAAGAGCGCCTCTGCCCGGCCGCCCCGTCTGGGAGGTGAGGAGCGCCTCTGCCCGGCTGCCCCGTCTGGGAGGTGAGGAGCGCCTCTGCACGGCTGCCCCGTCTGAGAGGTGAGGAGAGCCTCTGCCTGGCCGCCCACTGTCTGGGATGTGAGGAGCTCCTCTGCCCGGCCACCCCGTCTGGGAAGTGAGGAGCACCTCTGCCCGGCCGCCCCGTCTGGGAGGTGTACCCAACAGCTCCGAAGAGACAGCGACCGTCGAGAACAGGCCATGATGACGATGGCGGTTTTGTTGAAAAGAAAAGGGGGAAATGTGGGGAAAAGAAAGAGAGATCAGATTGTTACTGTGTCTGTCTAGAAAGAAGTAGACATAGGAGACTCCATTTTGTTCTGGACTAAGAAAAATTCTTCTGCCTTGGGATGCTGTTAATCTATAACCTTACCCCCAACCCCGTGCTCTCTGAAACATGTGCTGTGTCAACTCAGGGTTAAATGGATTAAGGGCAGTGCAAGATGTGCTTTGTTAAACAGATGCTTAAAGGCTGCATGCTCATTAAGAGTCATCACCACTCCCTAATCTCAAGTACCCAGGGACACAAACACTGCGGAAGGCCACAGGGACCTCTGTCTAGGAAAACCAGAGACCTTTGTTCACGTGTTTATCTGCTGACCATCTCTCCACTATTATCCTATGACACTGCCACATACCCCCTCCAAGAAACACCCAAGAATGATCAATAAATACTAAAAAAAAAAAAAAAAAAAAAACTAGAGAAGCAAGAGCAAACACATTCAAAAGCTAGCAGAAGGCAAGAAATAACTAAGATCAGAGCAGAACTGAAGGAAATAGAGACGCAAAAAACCCTTCAAAAAAATCAATGAATCCAGGAGCTGGTTTTTTGAAAAGATCAACAAAACTGATAGACCGCTAGCAAGACTAATAAAGAAGAAAAGAGAGAAGAATCAAATAGGTGCAATAAAAAATGATAAAGGGGATATCACCACTGCTCCCACAGAAATACAAACTACCATCAGAGAATACTATAAACACCTCTATGCAAATAAACTAGAAAATCTAGAAGAAATGGATAAATTCCTCGACACATACACTCTCCCAAGACTAAACCAGGAAGAAGTTGAATCTCTGAATAGACCAATAACAGGATCTGAAATTGAGGCAATAATTAATAGCTTACCAACCAAAAAAAGTCCAGACCAGATGGATTCACAGCCGAATTCTACCAGAGGCACAAGGAGGAGCTGGTACCATTCCTTCTGAAACTATTCCAATAAATAGAAAAAGAGGGAATCCTCCCTAACACATTTTATGAGGCCAGCATCATCCTGATACCAAAGCCGGGCAGAGACATAACAAAAAAAGAGAATTTTAGACCAATATCCTTGATGAACATTGATGCAAAAATCCTCAATAAAATACTGGCAAACCGAATCCAGCAACACATCAAAAAGCTTATCCACCATGATCAAGTGGGCTTCATCCCTGGGATGCAAGGCTGGTTCAACATAAGAAAATCAATAAACGTAATCCAGCATATAAACAGAACCAAAGACAAAAACCACATGATTATCTCAATAGATGCAGAAAAGGCCTTTGACAAAATTCAACAACCCTTCATGCTAAAAACTCTCAATAAATTAGGTATTGATGGGACGTATTTCAAAATAATAAGAGCTATCTATGACAAACCCACAGCCAATATCATACTGAATGGACAAAAACTGGAAGCATTCCCTTTGAAAACTGGCACAAGACAGGGATGCCCTCTCTCACCACTCCTATTCAACATAGTGTTGGAAGTTCTGGCCAGGGCAATCAGGCAGGAGAAGGGAATAAAGGGCATTCAACTAGGAAAAGAGGAAGTCAAATTGTCCCAATTTGCAGATGACATGATTGTACACATAGAAAACCCCATCGTCTCAGCCCAAAATCTCCTTAAGCTGATAAGCAACTTCAGCAAAGTCTCAGGATACAAAATCAATGTACAAAAATCACAAGCATTCTTATACACCAATAACAGACAAACAGAGAGCCAAATCATGAGTGAACTCCCATTCACAACTGCTTCAAAGAGAATAAAATACCTAGGAATCCAATTTACAAGGGATGTGAAGGACCTCTTCAAGGAGAACTACAAACCACTGCTCAATGAAATAAAAGAGGATACAAACAAATGGAAGAACATTCAATGCTCATGGGTAGGAAGACTCAATATTGTGAAAATGGCCATACTGCCCAAGGTAATTTATAGATTCAATGCCATCCCCATCAAGCTACCAACAACTTTCTTCACAGAATTGGAAAAAACTACTTTAAAGTTCATATGGAACCAAAAAAGAGCCTACATTGCCAAGTCAATCCTAAGCCAAAAGAACAAAGCTGGAGGCATCACGCTACCTGACTTCAAACTATACTACAAGGCTACAGTAAACAAAACAGCATGGTACTGGTACCAAAACAGAGATATAGACCAATGGAACAGAACAGAGCCCTCAGAAATAATGCCGCATATCTACAACTATCTGATCTTTGACAAACCTGACAAAAACAAGCAATGGGGAAAGGATTCCCTATTTAATAAATGGTGCTGGGAAAACTGGCTAGCCATATGTAGAAAGCTGAAACTGGATCCCTTCCTTACACCTTATACAAAAATTAATTCAAGATGGATTAAAGACTTAAATGTTAGACCTAAAACTATAAAAACCCTAGAAGAAAACCTACGCAATACCATTCAGGACATAGGCATGGACAAGGACTTCATGTCTAAAACACCAAAAGCAATGGCAACAAAAGCCAAAATTGACAAATGGGATCTAATTAAACTAAAGAGCTTCTGCACAACAAAAGAAACCACCATCAGAGTGAACAGGCAACCTACAGAATGGGAGAAAATTTTTGCAACCTACTCATCTGACAAAGGGCTAGTATCCAGAATCTACAATGAACTCAAACAAATTTACAAGAAAAAAACAACCCCATCAAAAAGTGGGCAAAGGATATGAACAGACATTTGTCAAAAGAAGACATTTATGTAGCCAAAACACACATGAAAAAATGCTCATCATCACTGGCCATCAGAGAAATGCAAATCAAAACCAAAATGAGATACCATCTCACACCAGTTAGAATGGCGATCATTAAACAGTCAGGAAACAACAGGTGCTGGAGAGGATGTAGAGAAATAGGAACACTTTTACACTGTTGGTGGGACTGTAAACTAGTTCAACCATTGTGGAAGTCAGTGTGGCGATTCCTCAGGGATCTAGAACTAGAAATACCATTTGACCCAGCCATCCCATTACTGGGTATATACCCAAAGGACTATAAATCATGCTGCTATAAAGACACATGCACATGTATGTTTATTGCGGCACTATTCGCAATAGCAAAGACTTGGAACCAACCCAAATGTCCAACAATGACAGACTGGATTAAGAAAATGTGGCACATATACACCATGGAATACTATGTAGCCATAAAAAATGATGAGTTCATGTCCTTTGTAGGGACATGGATGAAGCTGGAAACCATCATTCTCAGCAAACTATCGCAAGGACAAAAAAACCAAACACCGCACATTCTCACTCATAGGTGGGAACTGAACAATGAGAACATATGGACACAGGAAGGGGAACATCACACACCGGGGACTGTTGTGGGGTTGGGGGAGTGGGGAGGGATAGCATTAGGAGATATACCTAATGCTAAATGATGAGTTAATGGGTGCAGCACACCAACATGGCCCATGTATACATATGTAACAAACCTGCATGTTGTGCACATGTACCTTAAAACTTAAAGTATAATAATAATAATAAAAAAATTAAAAAAAAAACTTAAACCAAATCTCTCTTCCTTCAAGAAGAGTACCTAATCATAGTTTGAATGATCTTGTCTTCCTCAAAATTCCTACAGTGCTGTGCCACTCACTTAGTCATTATCTTCACACTCTAGCTCACAAGAACCACGGCCAAAGCCACACTTCACATTTCATAAAGGAAGACAGTATCTTCCTTTAGTTTTTTCCACGATATGCATCACCTTGGTTTCTGGCCCCATTCCCACAAGCACAATATCCTTAAACTTTGTAAACTGTTCTCTAAATCTAAACTATAATTATTTTACTAAAGATACTATAAATCCACTTTAATTTGATATCCCCATTTGTTATCATTTGATGATATCTGCACATATATATGTGATATATAATGCAAGCACAAATTTTAAATTCTACAATAAAAACAGTTATATGCTATATTTAAAATGAGGCATGACACAGACCTTAAAAATAAGAAAACTGCTATGATTAAATTTAACTCTCCATATTTGGGGTGGAAGGATCAGAACAAAAATACTTGGGTATTTGTAGAATTTAAGAATGTAAATTCTTTCCCTAAAATTCAGAGGCCACCGTGCTACACGTGTGGCTTGAGGGAGCGAGGTGGACGTGTGGCTCACAGAGCAAACATATGACTAGGAACCCTCCAACAAATGGTCACCTAAACAACAACATTCTGTAATCTTGCTGAGACCGTAACGTGCGTAACAGGGAATAGAAACAAGCACACAATTCCTACAACAGCTTTAACACAGACCTATTAGTTCATCTCAACCAGTCTTTTCCTCTTCTGGCTTCAAAATAACCCTGACAGCAGTCAGTTATGCTTTCTATGAGCTCTCTCAGTCTTTCCAGTCCCCTATATTGATCTGGCTCTAAGCACTTAATAAGCATCTTTCTCAAAAGCTTTCCAAGTCATTTTTTAAACAGAAGCCAAGACACAATTATGCCACGGTTTTAGGCAAAACCTTTCGTCTTTGCTAGATGTTTTAAGCACTGTTGGTTTCAGTCATTCCTCCTTATAGGACTGGATGGAAAACAAGTCTGCCCTGCTATGAAATGTGGGAGTCTTATCTCTGAAGATTTGTAATTCTCAAGTAAGACTCACATATGAAAGACAAAACTGATTATTTATTTAAGTGAGAATCCTTTATAAACACAATATGAAAAGAGAGATCTCATCAAGTCTTTTTGGTACACAGTTTTCATGATCGATAAGACTTAGTCTAACTCAGTACCTTCCCAAACTATTTTTGATGGTCACCCTCAGAGAGAAGTATTTTATACAGAAACCCAGGACACATGGCTACACATATACGTGTAATAAAAAAAATTCTACTTATGACCCACTAAACTGATTTCACAATCCACTAATAGGTCACAATATGAGGTTAAAAACAAAAACAAAAACAACTCCGGTTTCTATCTCTAGTTTACCTGGATCTCTATCATATATGTATATTACTGTATTGGGTTGGTGCAAAAGTAATTGTGCTTGTTGCCATTACTTTCAATGGCAACAAGCACGATTACTTTTGCACCAACCTATAATTAAAAGGGCTCTCCTTTAATGCTAAATCTGAAATACTATATTCCACACTGTCTCAGGAATTTGTCTTTGGGCTAGGCTACACAGACGCTTAAGAGAAATCTGAGGGAAATATAACTACATTTAAAACCAGAAAAACTAAATAACTGCAACCCATAACATTTCAAAAACTCAGTCACTTTCACAGTTCATGCACGTAAAAACCTACTTTGGTCCTCCGCATTCAACTGCAGAAGCTTTCACAAACCGGATAGGTTGTAATCCCACTGGTTCAATGCTTAGAGTATTGTTTTCCACAGCCTCCAGAACAGCTGAAGCCAACTTAAAAAAAAAGAAAAAGTACTAGATGCTATACTGGCAGAAAAATATCAAAATTGTATTCTACAGTAAACGAATTTTATAAATTATTCTTCTCCAAAGTTCCACTAGCTTGGCTTTAGCAAATGAAAAAGGAAGAAATCAGATAATTTTGGTTTGATTTATTTTATAATCCAAACACTGTTATGAAAGGCAATTCACTTATGGTAAAATAACTTTCCTCATTATCTGGACGAGGATTCAAGGCATCAATTCCAGTCTCTGTTCACTCCTTACCCACGATTAATATCCACAGTTAATGCCACTTCAAAATGAATATCCTAAAGCTTTATTCTGCTAAATATATACAATATTTTTAAACATTGGTCATTTATACCACAGCAATATATATTAATTAGCTGCATATTTTCTGAATTTGTATTTATGTGCACAAGAGTGAGTCTACAAAAGAATTAGCTGAATTATCAAATATTAAATGCCCAGATGAAGACGGTAGCAACTAACACCAGATGAAACAGGAAAACCTCTTTAGTCTGGCAAGGTTACTAATACTGAATGGCCTACCTGAAACCAGATACAGAGCCACAATGAACAAGATATATTCATACCAAAAGTGTGAAAAATGTTCATCTTAACTTCTCCTGGTAAGCAACGTTATAATTAAATGCTTGAAAGACTTAACATAAAACTCTTAGGATTAAATTTCTTATACTTTAATTGACCGGATATTTGTAGACAAACCTTTCACATGTAAGAACAAATTAAAATTACAGCTTTAAATTTTTATACTGCCTTATTTTTCTAAGGTTTTTGCATCTACTTAATCCACTTCATTTTATCCTTTTAACAATCCTGTGGCACAGGCAAAGAAGGCATTACTTTTCCTGTTTTAAAGATAAAAAATTAGATTTTTAAATCATGTACAGATAGACACAACAAATGCCTTTAACAGAGTGTGTAGAGAACTTCCCTTACACTGAACCTTGGACTGCAAATCAAGAAATAAGTCCTATCCCCCATACCTATTTAATACCTGACACCAATGCAGTACACATTTGAGTGTGAATGATCCTCTGCTCATATAAGAAAAGATGTTCAGTAACTGAATGCCAAGAAATTATCATGATTCTAGTACGGAATGGCAAAAATAGCAAAACATGACATTTTATAATAACTTATTTATGTAAGAGATATTAAAATATGTAATATGATTTAGTTTAAAAGAAGTACAGAAACAACTATAATGAATTCCTACTAAAATGAAAAAAAATTACCTCACTTTTTGAGAATGTTAAACATGGAAAGATATCTTCCTGGTAGATTTTGTCTAAGAAAGGACACGTCCTGTCCATTGTGGGCTCATCCTTCCACAATCGGAATTCATTATACAAGGATAAGTCAGCCTAACAAACCAAAGGAAAACACAAAAACATGTTTTAAAACGTATAAACATAAAAACCGCTTTACAAAACCAAAACTAATTTAAACATCACTGAAAAAAAGCTCTTCATTTAAAATAATAAATTGAACCACTCTTGGTGGTTCAATACCTGGTAGCAGTTTTCCTTTTTAAAAAATACTCTCAAATAATACCTGGTAGCATAATACCTGGTAGCAGTTTTCCTTTTTAAAAAATGACTCTCAAATAACCAATTAGCCTTTTTCCAAGCATCATTCACTACCATGTTCAATAACACTACTATTATCCTCACTCTGAGCTCCTTCTCCCATCCCCACCAAAAATGCTGGAGTTCCTCTTAAGACACAGGTGGCACACTATTCAGAATATAATAAATGATGACAAGTCTTTTCTGAAAACAATAAAAAGGTAATTTGGAACCTAATTAATTATAGTGTCTGAATAAACTGAGACTGGCTGAACTGTGAAACCTAGTTTGGGATCAAAAATGACACTAATTGTTCTACTATAACTTGAAGGCATTCCAAAAAGAATTGTCAAAATGTTATTGCATAACCAACAGGATTAAAAAAAAAGAATACGTAAAGCCTTCTAAACTACCTTAAAATACAACATTTATTTAGATATTTTTGACATATTTTTGGCACCCAGTAACTACCATCTTAGGCATCAATAATAATCCACTGCTGGCACCTGCCTTCCTATTCACTCCTCCAGCTATCCCTCTCTTTCTCACCTCCCTAATAAATTTTCCCCAAGTATTCTTCCCTACAGATTCTCAGATTCCCTCAGTCCAGCTCAATAGCATCTGCTGGAATACAAAGTTGCACTGACATCAGCCACCCAAACTAGAGCAGTCTCCCCCATCCTACAGCTCTAAGCTGCTCTTCTCCAGAGGCACTGGATACACCATAAATGATGCACTGACTACAGCTACAGACTGCCTCTAGGATAGCTCAATCAGATGTGCAAGTAGTCTACAAAAATGTAACATAGAGCTGAGTGTAGCCAAGCCTTCCTACAGACTTCCTTTTAAGGTGTATAAGGGCAATCTCCATGTGAATATTTTTTTCAGCCCAATTCATAAATTCCTTGAATCAAAGCAAAAGCAACAGGATAAATAATATTAGCATATAAGCAATACTTACATTTTCAAATGCATTTTCTTTGTAAAGTTACTGAGAAAAAGGACACTTCCTCAATTCCATTTATCTTCTAAATAAGACTCTTTAATCTTTGTTCCTAATTCACTTACCTCCTGGCTCTAATAAGAGATGTCACATCTCCAATTTAACAGTCTGTTTAATATTAACTTCTCAAATGTATTTGTTCCCAACATATATTGATTTATATGAGCACACACTAATGACCTAAGTCTGTTACTCTTTCTTAAGAAAGATGCAAATTTATTCCCTATTTAATAAATGGTGCTGGGAAAACTGGCTAGCCCTATGTAGAAAGCTGAAATTGGATCCCTTCCTTATACCTTATACAAAAATCAATTCAAGATGGATTAAAGACTTAAATGTTAGACCTAAAACCATAAAAACCCTAGAAGAAAACCTATGCAATACCATTCAGGACATAGGCATGGGCAAGGACTTCATGTCTAAAACACCAAAAGCAATGGCAACAAAAGACAAAATTGACAAATGGGATCTAATTAAACTAAAGAGCCTCTGCACAGCAAAAGAAACTACCATCAGAGTGAACAGGCAACCTACAAAATGGGAGAAAATTTTCGCAACCTACTCATCTGACAAAGGGCTAATATCCAGAATCTACAATGAACTCAAACAAATTTACAAGAAAAAAACAAACAACCCCATCAAAAAGTGGGCGAAGGACATGAACAGACACTTCTCAAACGAAGACATTTATGCAGCCAAAAAACACATGAAAAAATGCTCACCATCACTGGCCATCAGAGAAATGCAAATCAAAACCACAATGAGATACCATCTCACACCAGTTACAATGGCAATCATTAAAAAGTCAGGAAACAACAGGTGCTGGAGAGGATGTAGAGGAATAGGAACACTTTTACACTGTTGGTGGGACTGTAAACTAGTTCAACCATTGTGGAAGTCAGTGTGGTGATTCCTCAGGGACCTAGAACTAGAAATACCATTTGACCCAGCCATCCCATTACTGGGTATATACCCAAAGGACTATAAATCATGCTGCTATAAAGACACACGCACACGTATGTTTATTGCGGCATTATTCACAATAGCAAAGACGTGGAACCAACCCAAATGTCCAACAATGATAGACTGGATTAAGAAAATGTGGCACATATACACCATGGAATACTATGTAGCCATAAAAAATGATGAGTTCATGTCCTTTGTAGGGACATGGATGAAACTGGAAATCATCATTCTCAGTAAACTATCGCAAGAACAAAAAACCAAACACCATATATTCTCACTCATAGGTGGGAATTGAACAAGGAGAACACATGGACACAGGAAGGGGAACATCACACTCTGGGGACTGTTGTGGGGTGGGGGGATGGGGTAGGGATAGCATTGGGAGATATACCTAATGCTAGATGACGAGTTAGTGGGTGCAGGGCACCAGCATGGCACATGTATACATCTGTAACTAACCTGCACATTGTGCACATGTACCCTAAAACTTAAAGTATAACAATAATTAAAAAAAAAAGAAAGATGCAAATTTATTAAAAAAAAAAAAAAAAAAAAAAAGAAAGAAAAGAAAAAGGACATAAACCCCAAAGCAGGTAAGTGGTATTCTAAGGAAAGATTCTAGTTTAAAGGCTGTAATTTAAACCATTTATTAAGAGCTGACTCTGCCAGGAACCACCGTAAGCACTTTACAAGCATTTAATCCTCACAACTGTGCAAGACAGATATTATGATTGCCATTTGTAATTTGCCGGAGATTGCATAGCAAGAAAGCAGTAAAGTCCGAATTCAAATCTAAGTGGCTTGATCCCAAAGCCTTGCACTGGGCATGTATGTCTGCATGCATGCATGTGTATTTTAAATGTTTACAGAAGACATGTTGCTAATGTCATAACTGAGTGCCCCATCATATTTTCTACAAAAACACGGACATGCTTAATTTTCTTCCAGATTGTTACATATTTTTCTAAGACTTACACAGGTCAAATTTAT
Source organism: Homo sapiens (assembly GCF_000001405.40). Classification (NCBI taxonomy): domain Eukaryota; kingdom Metazoa; phylum Chordata; class Mammalia; order Primates; family Hominidae; genus Homo; species Homo sapiens. The sequence continues at coordinate 69,797,045 of NC_000012.12, read as the reverse complement.
GTAATTCCTTTGCCTAGTAAGACTTTTTGACAAGTTTTTCATGAAACATCAGACTATAACACGTACCTGAAGAGCAAAGGTTATTATTTTGAAGTTATATGCTGCCTATGCACATTTTAAGGGATTTCAAAAACTAAAAATGAATCTTTACCATGTTCCATGAGAAGACACTTATAATTTTGTTAGTGTAAATAGGGGGGAAAGTACATAATTACTTACACATACTGAGTAAGAAACACCAAAAATACAAGTTGTACCAGGCAATTAAAATTGCTATTTAAATTCCAAAGAATTAGAATTAAAGTTAGGACAAAGAAGTTTCTTAAATATTTAACAGAAACCAATGTGAATTTTGGATTTGGTTACATTCAGATTTAACCAAGTATTGAACTTCTCTCTTACCAGCATCATTTTTATTGATAATTCGTCAAAATGCAATTCAATTAAAACAGGTTAACATTGGTTATTCCATTTAATAAACTCCTGGCTTCCATACAAAAATTTAACAAGCACACACATTTCTTCAAGATTAATGATGGACTTGAATTTAACAATGTAAAAGATGGCTTCTAAGAAGAAATGGGAAAGCTTCATAAATTATTGATCAATCCTCTTAGAAATGCATTCTCACAGTATACAATGATTAAAAATTTTTACTCTAAACAGCTCAAAATATTTATATATTATTTCAGTTATCTTTGTAACATATCTTTTAAAATAAGACTATTATTATTATTATGATTTTGAGACAGAGTTTCGCTCTTGTTGCCCAGGCTGGAGTGTGATGGCGCAATCTCAGCTGACCGCAACCTCCGCCTCCCAGGTTCAAGGGATTCTCCTGCCTCAGCCTCCTGAGTAGCTGGGATTATAAGCATGAGATACCATGCCCAGCTAATTTTATATTTTTAGTACAGATAGGGTTTCTCCATGTTGGTCAGGCTGGTCTCGAACTCCCAACCTCAGGTGATCCTCCGGCCTTGGCCTCCCAAAGTGCTGAGATTACAGGCATGAGCCACCATGCCCGGCCCATTATTTCGTTTTTAAATTTTTAATTGTTATGGATACATGATAATGGTGGCCTTACATAGTTGTAAGTGTCTGAATAACAGACTGGCTGAACTGTGAAACCTAATTTGGGATCAAAAATGACACTAATTGTTCTACTATAACTTGAAATTTCACTTAGCAAAATGTCTTCCAGCCTTATGTCATTGTAAGGCTACCATTATTTCTATTTTTTTGTTGCTTAATTATCTAAATTAACTCTAGGACTCCCTTGCTGACATAAAATTCTCTCTGAATTTAAATAAAAGCAATGTATTGATCTTTAAGAAAATCATCTTATTTTCACATATTTCTTATATCCATACTTTGTAAGCGCACTCTAGCAATAAATTTTGACTAGCCAGATCATTAAAGCCACCCACTCTCCTCTAGACAACACATGACAGTTTCCTCCCTTAATGAAATACTGAGATTAAGAAACTTACCAAGTTTCCAGCAGGTACTCCAAGGTCAGCCAGGTAGAAAATGGAACTGAAGAATCCCTGAAAGCAGCCAGCTCTAGATAAAGCCTCCCCCATCTTAATACTGCATTATTTTGTACTAAAAATTTTGCTGGCAAAAATGATAACTGACACCTCAGTGATGAGAACTAACAAGTATCAACAGAGTCAGAGGGGACAGTCCTTGATGAGTTACCTCTTTGCAGTCTTTTACAATTGGCTGTATCACACTGAGGTCCTGATGACTGCCACTCATAGCACTGCTTGTGCTTTTATTTCTTGTATGCCCCTTTTTAAAAGGTGTCTTTCCACCTGGCAAAGGCTCCTGCGTAGGTGATGTTGGAGAACTGGACAATACAAGTGTCTTCAATGCAGCTACTTCAGCTTGAAGTACATCAATCTTGGAAAGAAATCAACATAGTCACATACATTAAATACGTTTCATGACATATGCAGCTAAATATTAGCAATCTGGTCAAAACACTTTCAAAGATGAAAAGTAAGTTTAATTTGTATTTCCTGTGGAGTAATAAAAAGAAACTAAAATCAAGTTTTTTGATGTTTCCATATGGTTTGGATTCATCTATTATTAACAACGTCAAATGAGCCTGTGAAAATTACCAAAATATCTAACATTTATGTGAATTTTCAAAATCCTCAAAATATAATAGCTTATGATTAGTTGTAGAAGTTCACTCCTAAAACAGTAAAATCTAATAACATTTAGGTGGCTTTTCTCAGTGAATTTAAAAACTAAGTATTAACATTAAAATGTGATTCTATAATCCTTTGGATAATTCATGTGATTTACAAGGTTTTAAATCATTTGGTTCTCATATAAATGGACACGAAATGTTTACTATTAATTATACCTACATAGTAGCTATTTTCTTCTATTTTTCTGTAGTTTCCAAATTGAAAACAAGCACTACTTTACGATCAGAACAAAATCCAACAGATGTTAAGGTATCTTTAAAACAGTTATCACAAATTTATTTTATACTATTAAGAGCTGCAAAAACTCACTTTTCCTTGTGCTTCTTTTAGCTGTTTTTCTGCTGTTGCCTGCTTGATATTTGCTTCTCTCACCATTTTATGAGCTTCCTGAAAAAGTTAACATCTCAAATTTTAGAAACAAAGTAGCATTTGTTTTCAAAAAGTTCTTGCCAAATGTTTACAATTGAAGCAAAGATATACTACCAAAAGTTAGCCTGAAGTTAAGTATTCAATGTCAACTATGGAAGCAGCAGTTGACAACAGAGACAAACTATGAGACATTAGGAATAGGTGCCTTCTTTTAGGACCTATTACCACTGAGGCAGCCAAGTTGAGATCAATCATCCGGATAGATACTTGCGTAAGGACTGTGAATGTGACGAAGGCAAACAATGACCAATGTGTCAAAGCCAACTCCTTTGCAGTCAGCTTTTTATAATGTGGTCACTATATATGTTCTTATTAGTCAAAGCAAAGACATACAGGAGGGACAAGTAAAAACATTAACACACCAATAATGTTGCAGTTTATAGTAATGACAGCTAAGAAGCCTTAGAGCTTTCAATAAAAACATTCCCAAAATTTTATTATGTGACAATTTTGTGAAGAGCAACCTAAAAAGGCAAATCAGTTTACCCTTTAATAGAGTTTTAATCTTCTAGTACCACAAATATGAAACTCTAGGTATTTAATTCCTTTTTATTCATATAATGTTTATTCATGAGACATTTACTCATGTCATCTCCTTGTGAGGTACTGCTCCAGATGCTGATTACGTACTGGGAAAGGACAAAGTCCCTGCTCTTAAGGAGCTTACATTCTGTTTATATGTATTAACCAAATAAAACATCGGAATAAGAATTGTGGGTTTTATTCTAAATGCAATATGAAGCCTTACAGTTTTTTTAAGGAAGACATGATCATTTTATTTTTAAAAGATTATGCCCTTGTATAGAATAATCCCTGTAAGGGATTAAGAATGGACTGGAAGCATATATAGGGTGCTTGAGATAGTGCCCCGAGATTTAAGAACTTACATTTTAGAACTTTAGTTTACAATTTATCAGAGGAAGGAAGGAAATGAGCTTCAAAGATATTTAATGAATAGTTTGACAATGGCACCCTCACTAGATCTGTCAAAATGCACAGTGGTAGAATGGAAAGGTGGAAGTTCTTTACATCAGAGTTTGACTGTTTGTTTCCCGTTTGTTCATTAGCTTTTACAGTATTGTAACACTGCAGTTTGTGTGTGCCCATGAATGTGAATTTGCAGCTTATACTAGTTTAAATAGGAGAATCTTTACTATCAATGATTTATAGCAAAATGATATTAACCATGAAGATATTCCATGCACTATTATTCTGGCTATCTTGGCAAAGTCCTTAAGAGCTGTCAAATTTAATGAGTTAAATATTCTCCTTTTAAAAATAACAAATGTTTCAGATTTGCTGAATTTTTCTGGGACAAGTGGCTGTCAACACAAAACTATCTGGCAATGTTTTAAAAATAATAAACACAGCTAATCTGACCCTTCAAGATAAGTAACATTTTAACTTTAAATGAAAAAGTAATTCATACTATGGAGAGAATAGTTGACTAAATTTTTGGAAATGGACTCTGTTTTCATTAATAGTGGATTATGCAATTTGTACCAAACCTCCAACGGAGAACGATTAGAAAAGCTAGAAAAGTTTTTTGTTTGTTTTTAAAATATGTTTGAAGGTATCTGAGAACAAAATAGTGAAGTAAACTTAGAGTAATGTGAAATTTTAGGTGACTTTTCCACTACAGACATAAGGGTTACAGTGAAAAGGTATAACATACATATAATTGGAGCCCCAAAAGGAAAGATGAGCACTAGACTGGGGCAGGATCAGTTGCTAAAAAGATGACATGCAGAATTTTTACAGAATTTTTTAAAAATTGACAAAAAACATCAAAAGGTAGACTCAAAAAAAGTTTGAAAATTTTCCATCACACTGCCCTTCCAAAGCTGAAAATGATGTAAGTATCACCTATACCAGGAGTCGGTAAACTTTTTCTGTAAAGAGTCAAACACTATGTATACATATACAGCCTCAGCTGCAACTCCTCAGCTCTGCTGTTGCAATATGAAAGCAGCCATAGACAATACACAAATTAGTGTGGCTGTTTTAATAAATATTTATGAACACTGAAATATACATATCATTTTGTTTTTCTTTTAGCATATCCAGCACCTCTCAGTTACCTTTTTTTTGGAGGGGAGGTGGTGCGCAAACAAGATCTACCTTCTTAGCAAATTTGTAACATACGATATAGTCGTGCTGTACATTGGGTCTTCAGAATTTATCTATCCTGCATAACTGACACTTTGTACCAATGACCGACATCTCCCGTTTCTCCCACTTTCCAGCCCCTGACAACCACCAATCTACTCTGTGCTTCTATGAGCTCGACTATTTTAGATTCCACATATAAGTGAGATAATGTAGCATTTGTCTTTCTGTCTTGCTTATTTCACTTAGCAAAATGTCCTCCAGGTTCGCTCATGTTGTTGCAAAAGGCAGGATTTCCATTTTAAGACTGAGTAGTATTCATATACACACACATACCCCCCACATTTTCTTTATCCATTCATCAATAGACATATAACTTGTTTCCATAACTTTGCTACTGTGAATAATGCTGCAATGAACATGGAAGCACAGATAACTCATCAGGATAGCAATTTTCTTTTGGATATATATCTGGAAGTGGGATTGCTGGATCATGCGGTAGCTTTATTTTTAATTTTTTGAGCAGAAACTTCCATACTGTTTTCCATAATGGCTGTACCAATTTACATTCCCACCAATAGTGGACAAGTTCCTTTTCTCCACATCCTTGCCAACATTTACTATCTTTTGTATTTTGATAATAGCCATTCTAACCAGTGTGGGGTGCTATCTCATTGGGGAGTGACTGGCATTTACCTGATGATTACTGATGCTGGGTATCTTATCATATACCGGTTGGCCATTTGTATGTCTTCTTAGGAGAAATGTCTATTTAGGCCCCTAGCCCATCTTTCAATTGGGTTGTTTTTTGCTACTGCATGCCTTATATACTTTGGATATTAACTCCTTATCAGATACACGGTTTGCAAATGTTTTCCCATTCAGTATGCCGCTTCTTCATTTTGTTGACTGTTTTTTGCTGGGCAGAAGCTTTTTAGTTTGATGTACTCCCACTTGTCCATTTTGTTTTTGTTGCCTGTGCTTTTGGTGTCACATCCAAAAAAATCACTGCCCAGACCAATGTCAAGAAGCTTTTTCCTTGTTTCTTCTGAGTTTACAGTTTCAGGTCTTATGTGTAAGTCTTTAATCCATTTGAATTGATTTTTCTTTATGGTGTGAGATCAGGGTCTAATTTCGTTCATTTGCATGTGGATATCCAATTTTCTCAGCAGCATTTATTGATAAGACTATCTACTCCCCACTAGGTGTCCTTAGCATTTTTGTTGAGGGTCAGCTAACCAAAAATGTGTCATTTCTGGGCTCTCTATTCTCTTCTATTGGTCCACATGTCTGTTTTTATATCAGTGCCATACTGTTTTTACTGCTGTAACTTTGTCATGTACTTTGAAATCAGGAAGTGTGATGCATCCAGCTTTATTTTTCTTGCTCAAGATTACTTTGGGGCTGGGCATAGTGGCTCACGCCTGTAATCCCAGCACTTTGGGAGGCTGAGGCAGGTAGATCACCTGAGGTCAGGAGTTCAAGACCAACCTGGCCAACATGGTGAAACCCGTTTCTACTAAAAATACAAAAATTATCTGGGCGTGGTGGTGCACACCTGTAATCCCAGCTACTCAGGAGGCTGAGGCAGGAGAAAAGCTAGAACCCAGGAGGCGGAGGTTATAGTGAATCAAGATCGCACCATTGCACTCCAGCCTAGGCAACAGAGCAAGACTCCATCTCAGAAAAAAAAAAAAATTACTTTGGCTATTAACGTTTTTTGTAGCTCCATATGAACTTCCTACTTCTGTAAAAAATGCCATTGGGATTTTCACAGGGATTGCATTGTATCTGTAAATCACTTGGGTAGAATAGACATTTTAACAGTATTAATTCTTCCAACCAATGAACACAAATCTCTTTCCATCTGTGTCTTAATTCCCTTCATTAACTGTATTATAATTTTCAGTATACAAGTCTTTTTGCCTCTTTGGTTAGGTTTATTCCTAAGTATTTTATTCTTTTTGATGCTTTTTGACACTGAAATCATGAGATTGTTCTCTTAAATTCCTTTTCAGGTAACTGGTTGTCCATGTATAAAAACATCATTAATTTTTGTATCCTGCAACCCTATCAAATTCATTTATTAGTTCTAACTTTTTTGTTGTTGAATCTTTAGAATTTTCTACACTTGTGATCATGTCATCTGCACACAGAGATTATTTCTTCCTTTCCAATTTGGTTGCCTTTTCTTTTTCTTGACTGATTGCTCTAACATTCCAGAACTGTGCTGTACAGAAATGGTGAAGAGTGGGCATCCTTGTCTTATACCAGATCTTAGAGGAAAAGCTTTCAATTTCCCCCACTGATTATGATTGTTAGCTATGGGTTTCCATATATGGTCTTTATTGTCTTAAAGTAAGTTCCTATATCTATTTTGTTGAGAGTTTTAGCATAAATGAATGTGGAATTTTGTCAAATGCTTTTTCTGCTTCTATTAAGATTATAATGTATATTATTATATCATTCTATTACTGTGGTTTATCACACTGATTGATTTGCCTATGTTGATGCATCCTTGCATCCCAGGGACAAATCCCATTTGATCACAGTGTATAATCCTTTTAATATGTTACTGAATTTGATTTTCTAACATTTTATTAAGAGCTTCTGCACCTATGTCCATTGAGAATATTGGCCCATAGTTTTTTCCTTGTGGTACATTTACTGGCTTTGGTATCAGAGTGATATTGGCCTCATAAAATGAGTTTGGAAGGGTTCCCTCTTCTATTTTTGTAAGAGTGTAAAAAGAATTGGCACTGATTCTTCTTTGAATGTTGGTAGAATTTACCTGTGAAGCCATCTAATCTTGGGCTTTTTTGTTTCTACTTCTTGATTCCATTTTCCAGAATTTGATTCCAGAAAACTGAGTCAGTTTCTAGGAATTTATCTATTTCTTCTAGATTATCCAATTGATTGGCATGTGGTTCATAAAAGTCACTTATGATCTTTTTTATTTCTGAAGCATCCATTGTAATACCTCCTCTTTCATTTCTGATTTGAGTCCTCTCTTCTCTTGGTTTGTCTAGCTAAGGGTTTTTATTTTTTTCAAGAAACAAACTCGGGTTTTCTTAATATTTTCTATTATTTTCCTATTCTCTATTTCTACTCTGATCTTTGTTATTCCCTTCCCTCTGCTAAGTTTGGACTTAGTTTGTTCTCCTTCTAATTCCTTGAGGTATAAAGTTAGGTTGAGATTGTTCTTCTTTTTTAATGTAGGCCTTTATCCCTCTTAGTACTGCTTTTTCTGCATCTCTTAAGTTTTGGTACGTTGTGTTTTCAGTTTTATTCGTCTCAAGAAACTTTTCAAGTTCCCTTTTGATTTTTTGACTCAAAGGTTGTTCAAAAGGATATCATTGTTTAGTTTCCACACATTTGAGTTTTCCTGTTTTCTATTATTGATTCCTAATTGAATTCCATTGTGAGTGGAAAAGATTCTTAGAATGATTTTGATCTTCTTAAATCTGAGACTTGTTTTGTGACCTAACATGAACTATACTGGAGAATGTTTCATGTGCACCTGAGAAGAATGTATATTCTTTTGCTGTTGTGTTAAAAGTTCCATACGTATCTGTTAGATCCATTTGGTCTATAGCGTTATGCAGTTCTGCTGTTTCCTTATTAATTTTCTGTCTGAATAATCTACTCATTAGAGAGACTGTGGTATTGAAGTCACCTATTATTAATGTATTACTGTATCAGCCTTCAGATCTGTCAGTTTGTTTTACACATTTAGGTGCTTTGATGTTGGATGCATATATACAGTCATGCACCACATAACATTTCAGTGAACAATGGACTGCATATATGACAGTGGTCCCATAAAATTATACCATATTTATTTTTACTTTACTTTTTCTATGTTTAGATACGTAAATATTTACCATTGTATCACAAGTGCCAACAGTATTCAGTATAGTAACATGTTGTACAGGTTTGTAGCCCAGGAGCAATAAGCAATATCATATAGCCAAGGTGTGTAATAGGCTGTACCATCTAGGTTTTACCACATCTTGGTTTGTGTAAGTATATTCTACCGATTTCTGCACGATGAAATCTATAATGACAAAATAATGATTTAAAATAGGGAAAGATGTATCTTATATTAGACCAATAGATGTGTGAGTTATCAGCAGTATTAGATCTATTTTTGAAAATGGAACTTAGACCAGACCTTCATCTGGATAATAAACTGTTAAAACAAGATCTTCTAAAATAAAGTAACATATTCAATCACACTCCTCTCACTAAGTATATATAAAACATGTGTGTATAACTGTTTTAATGAGAATATTTTTGTACCATAATAAAAATGTTAAAGCATTTTTATTGTTTTACCTTTTAAAACTTGTATTTACAATGTATGTTAACACATTAGTATGTCCATTAGCAAGTGTGTATAATTTATAAATACACATATATGTTCATATAGAACACTACCTATATGTGCCTAGCACATAGGGAACTCTCAATAAATATTAGTTATCTTCATCATAATGGAGGTAACATGCTCAAATTTTTCTCGTACTGATCAGGTACAGGATCAAAAAGTTTGGTATCTATTGATTTAGCTAACAAACGATGGTGGCTTGGAAGGCAATGTGCTCTATGTCCTGGAGGTAGCATCAAAAGACTTAACTGATCACTTGAGTGTGGAATGAAGAAATAAGAGGCCCCGGTGATGACTTCTTTTCCATGGTTTGACACAAAGAGAAATGCCATTTATGATTTTCACAGTAGATAAAGCAAGAGTTAGGATCATGAATATGAGTGCCTGCATTGCTCATTAGCCTCTCTGCCTCACTTTTCTTCTCAGATAAAATGATAATAATCTGCCCTATATGCATCATAGTATTGTTGGGAGAAAACTAGACATATCATAAACATTTACTAAAACTGGCTTATAAAACATAAACATCTTAAGACTACTATCTTTTTTTCTCCATGTAAGATATAGACTGCTTTGTATTCTTTCAACTGACTTAATTTTATATTATCTCAAAATTGGAGGCGTTAGAAGAAAAACATAACTTTTGAGGTTTATTAAGTATTTGATACTTTTAAAACTCAACTTTGCTACATACAAAGTATAATTATATTGAAGATTAGGATAATAGACTCCTATTATACATGTCAGACTTACCAAAACTGTGCATATTGAGTTTATTCAGAATAATCTTTAATTCCTAAAAAGATATGCAAACACACACATATAAAGTGCAAAAAAAGAATCTTTTCATAAGACAATGGTAAACAGATCATGAAGGCACAATTAAGACCAAATAAAAACTTTGAGCGCTTTTTCCACGATTCATAAATAATTGGTTCGAATACAACTTTCTTCATTACCAAAATCATCTTTAATCAATGTACTTTGTTTTCCAGAAAGTAGCCACAGTGTCAATGCTAACAGCCACCACTGGGTTAGAAAAGGTTAGAGACTCCAAACTATATTTTTTAGATATGCTTTTTCACTTATTGCCTATTGCCTAAGCTGCATTTCTGGCCCTTCACATCCTGCTACTTACAGGGAGAAGTTTCTTTCTGTTTTTTCTACTTCTATTTCATGTAACAGAACATACATACATGTGCAGATGGGTGAAACTAAGCAGGGCTAGCTAAATTAAATGCAAGTAGTCAGGAAATCAAAATTAACATAAATAGCTTAATATATTTGCTTTCTTACCTAATATCCATATCACTACAAAATTTTCTTCCAGTCAGACAATACTGGAAGAAAAATCTAATGCTTCTGTATAACCTTCTATTCAGAAATGTAACAAGTCACATAGCTTCTATTCTAGCTCTTTAACTTTCCACTCTTCCTATCCTTAAATTTATTCTCCTCTCATCTCTGATGACTAGCTAGCTAAATAAATAAACAGATTAATTTTAAAATGTTCATGAAAGAAAATGACCCCAAAAAGACAGAAAAGAAGGCAAAGGGGTATGGAGCAGAGAAGGCATGGAAAGCCCTACATGTCTAAAGACATTCAGGGCAATGTTACTTGTAATGATAAAAGTTGTGGAACAGGCACCTAGTAGATTATGACTATCGTTACAATTAGTGATGGTGCAGCAACATTAAAAATGTTATTTAGAAAAACACAAAATATTAAATTACAACTAAGTAAGAATACATACATACCTGAGACTGTGAAATAGATTATGAATAAATAATAACAAAAGGTGATGGAATTTCCACCCCCCCAAGTTTATTATAATAAAAGTTTTAAGAACAAATCTTTAGGAAAAAAACATATATATATCGTTAAATGATAATGGCATTAGCCATTCCAGTAACACATCAATGTTTTTGTTAAGGAACTTCTAAAGACTCAAGGTCTTAACCCAAAGGAGACACTTTACAGCAACAGTTCTTACTCATGGAAGTACTACCCTCACCTCACCCCCAGGGGTATCTGTATGCTGTCAAAATGACCGGGGGTATTACCAGCACTTTTCTGAGCAAAGCCTATTATAATGGTTTATTGTGTACGTCAACTTGACTGAATCAAAGGGTGCTCGAATATGTAGTCAAACATTATCCTGAATGTTTCTGGATAAGAATAACATTTACATTGGTAGACTGAGTAAAGTAGACTGCCCTCTAGAATGTGGGTGACCCTCATCCAATCAGTTGATGGCCTGAATAGAACAAAAAAGGGTGCCGCTCCCTCAAGGAAGAGATTTTTTTTCTGCCTTCAGACTCAAACTGAAACATTTGCTCTTCCCAGTTCTCAGACCTTCAAAGTTGGACTGGAAGTGCACCATCAGCCCTCCTGGGCCTCCAGTTTGCTGACTCCCACTGCAGCTCCCTGGGACTTGCCAGCCTCCATAACAGCAAGAGCCAACTCCCTATAATAATGAGTGCCTCTGTCCCTCTCTCTCCCTCTCTGTATCTCTCTATACATGTATATGTATATAGGCTCTGTTTTTCTGGAGAACCCTGACTAAAACACCAAGGACACTAAACGTCCTACAGTGTTAGTGGCACCCCTATGGAGAAACACTGCTCCAGTTAGGTAGAAATTTTTCCTGGTGGCGGGCTGGATATAAAAAGTATGCCTTCTTACAAGTAGATGTGCCTTCTAACATTTCTCAAATCATCCCATGTAAGATGACTATCTCAAAGAGTTTGCCCTCTTAGTTGTACAGTCATATGTAGTTAATCTAAAGTAGCCCGTAAATACTTGGTAAAATAAAAATCAATACTAAAATTTGCCTCCTTTCTTTGCACACATACATTTTTAAATAATCTGATACTGGTGGCCCATAGATGTTTTTTATTTCTTTTCACATCATCTTAAGTTGTAAACTCTACATTGCTTAAAGATTTCTCTTTTGCTTAGAGGACTTATAAATATACATGAAGCTAAGCAAATATTTTTCAAGATTCCCTCAAAATACAATTTTGTCAATATATAAAAGTCAAGATGTTGCTGTTGGCCAAGATGTAAATAGACCAACCTCAAATAGACTAGCTGTGAGTTCTTCCAATTCCTGTCCAAGTTGATCTCGCACTTTTGAAAGCCTCTCACATTCTTCATCTTTTAACTTCAGTTCCTAAGAGAAATTGATAATTTTATTTTGGATCTCCATAGTTTGAAGTTAGATTCAGCAGACTATATAATCTTTACTAATAAAATTATAAAATATGAATACTGTCACTTCTGACAATGTTCACATTGAAAGTATTTATCTAGCACCTGCTATGTGGAAGACAATCAGGCAAGTCCAAAATTACAGAAAATCCCAACTAACAAATTAAATTTTCACATTTCTTTCATAAAATATCCAAAAATTAAAAATATACATTATATATATAAACTATATATAATATATATTACAGGTGAAAATAAACAAAATGACTTCTTTTTTTCCTTTAACTTTTTGCTATACATATTTATTTCCATCAAGTAAGGAATTTAATTATGCATATTTCAATAAAAATACACTTTTTTTATGTTTACTTTAAAAGCTATTTACTTATAGGTAACTTCATGTACCATACTGCAACTAACCTAAAATATCTATTAGGAGACTATATCCATTAAACAATGTAACCAGATATAAATGATGCATATTTGCATTTAAAATCAAGAAAAACGTTACCAAAAATCACATTCTACATTTATATTCAACTCCTCACCAGTTCACATATAGATGTTTTAAAATTCCTTTATTCAGCTATTAAGCATATGCAATTTTGTATGCTTAAGTAGCCCTAAACTAATCTTTCAAACATAGGGGGGGAGAATCTAAGCTCCTTACATATTAGTCACAATTAAACTAATAAAATAATGAGTTAGTGGTGTTATAATTGTGGTGGCAGTATAGTCTTTTAATCCCCCAAAGATAACTCCTAAAAACCAGATATACCAACAGGGATATGAGAAGATCTCAATGAAACTAAGTAAAAGAGAATCTCCATAATTCTCAGAATACTAAGAGAATGTGGATAAACTGCTCACAATGCATGATCACCAGATGTACAAAAGCAGCAGGAAATTAAAGCTACAACAGAGGTACCCTACAAAGCAACAAAACCCAAAAATCACCAAGAAATACTCCACAAGCACAGGACTCTATCTTTGGAGAAAACTCGGAGAGCAAATCTAAGAATAAACGGAGAGAAAGCAAAAGGTTTTCACAGGCTCCAACTTGCAGGTGACTGCAAAAACCTGTATAGTCAGTCCTATAGGCAGCAAAGAGTGCTACGAAGCTCTAAACCCTCAAACATCTTAGAGGAGTACGTAACAAAGAGCCCTCACCAGAAGGACGGAGTCTCACCCTAAGGGGAAAAAAACTCGGAAGTCTCAAACAAAACTGCAGGGCAATGAAGACAGGGAGAAGGAAGGATAAGATATAAAGAGGGAAGGGAGTGGCAAAGTTCCAAAGGAAACAGTTGACAGAAAATACTAGAGAGAGAAAATAAGTATCCTATGATGGGATGCTAAGCATGTAAAGCTCTCAGAAACAGTGCGCTGGAAAAGAAAAACCTTTTTGACCAAGGATTACCTACGAGACAAAGGAGCTACACACACACTCCAAAAACAACAGAGGAGAAAGACCTTCAAATGTAAACTGATAAAGCTATCCTGATTTATTCTTTCATAGGAATCTCTTCCTAATAGTCCAGGGAAATCCAGATCATTTAAACATGGGAAACAAAAATATGTAAAGTTATCACAATAATAAAGTTAAATACAAAGCCAAGTCACCTACAAGGGAAAGAAAATCAGACTGGTACCGAATTTCAACAGCAACATTTATGTTAGAAAACAATGAAGTAACATTTTTAAGTTACTCAAAGAAAAAAATGTGAGCTGAGTATTTTATAGCCAGCCAAAGTGTCCTTCAAGTGTACGACCACAAAGTCATAAACCTGTAAGACCTTAGAAAATCTCTCTCCTATGAGCTTGCCTGAGTGGACCAGAGAATGTTTCAGATTAAAAAAACAAAAAAAAACAAAACAAAAAAACTGGATAAGCTGTAACATGATGGACTGGGGTAAGAAGAAAATACATCTAACTTTAGAACTAAAACTAAAAGATGGGAATATCAAGAGAATGAGAAGACAAGACACAAATTGGGAAAAAAATATTTGCAAATGACCTATGTGATAAACTACTGTTATCCAAAATATACAAAGAACATTTAAAATCCAACAGTGAGAAAAGAACGACCCAATTAAAAACTGGGCAAATGACCAAAACAGACACTTCACCAGAGAAGGCAGATACACAGATGACAAACAAGCATGTGAAATGATGATCAACATCATATCTTATTAAGGAACCACTAATTAAAACAATGAGATGGCTGGGTGCAGTGGCTCATGCCTGTAATCTCAGCACTTTGGGAGGCTGAGGTGGGCGGATCACGAGGTCAGGAGTTCGAGACCAGCTTGATCAACATGGTGAAACCCCGTCTCTACTAAAAATACAAAAATTAGCCACGCATGGTGGCGCGTGCCTGTAATCCCACCTACTCAGAAGCCTGAGGCAGGAGAATCACTTGAACCCGGGAGGTGGAGATTGCAGTGAGCCGAGATCGCGCCACTGCACTCCAGCCTGGGCGATAGAGCGAGACTCGATCTCAAAAAGAAAAAACAGAACAAAAAAACAATGAGATACCCTGCATACCTACTAGAATGGCCAAAACTCAGAACACGAGTTAGTGGTGTTGTAACTGTGGTGGTAATATAGTTTTTTAATCCCCCAAAGGGGGATTAAAACTGGTAATATCAAATGCTAAAGAGAATGTGAACAAATAGGAACTCTAATTTATTGCTAGTGACAATGCAAAATGGGAAAGCTACTTTGGAAGATAGTTTGGCAATTTCTTACAAAGCTAACCATACTCTTATCATGGGATCCAGCGATCACACTTGTTGGTATTTGCCTAAATTAGTCAAACACATGTCCACACAAAAACCTGCAAACACATATTTACAGCAGCTTTATTCACTCATAACTGCCCAAACTTAGAAGCAGCAGATGGCCTTTACTAGGTGAATGAATACACTGTGGTACATCCAGACAGTGAAATATCATTTTGTGCTAAAAGAAAATGAACTAACAAGCCATGAAAAGACATAAAAGAAGATTAAATGCACATTACTAAGTGAAAGAAGCCAATCTGAAAAGGCTACACACTATATGATTCCAACTCTATGACAATCTGGAAAAGGTAAGACTACAGAGATGTTAAAAAGATCAGTGGTTGCCAGGGTTTTTAGGGAGGAAGGGATGAGCAGGCAGAGTAAAGAGGATTTTTAGGTCAGTGAAACTATTCTGTAAGATACTATCATGGTAGACACATGCCATTATACCTTCATCAAAATCCACAGCATGTACAACACCAAGAGTAAACCCTAATGTAAACTATGAACTTTGGGAGACAATGTGTCAATGGAGGTGTATTAATTTTAAGAAATGTACCACTCTGGTAGGGAATGCTAACGGGGGGGATGCTGTGCGTGTGTGGAGACAGCAAGTACATGGGGACTCTGTACTTTCAATTTTGCTGTGAACCTAAAACTGCTCTAAAAACTGCTCTAAAAGTGTCAATTTTTTAAAAATGGAGATAAAACTGACAAAATGGTATAAAAATGATATAAGCTCAAGGGATGTAAAATAACACATATTATTTTTAAAAACCAAAAAAATTATAAGAAAGGTGAAACTAAGTGTACTAACTTCTTAAGTATTACTTGGAAAAAGAGTTACAACTTGAAGCTCTCAAATCAACTGGGATAAACCCAAGTACATTTATGAACACAGTGATTGGCATTAAGATAATACTTGTAACTAAAATCAAATGATACAGGAAAAGGGAAGAGACAGTTTAGTATTGTTTATGGCAGGAAACAAAGGTAGTATATAAAGAACTTTTAAGATATATAAATGCATTTGATTAAAAATAACAAAACAAAAATCAAACCTTCCAAAATACTAATTAAAAAAAAAAAAGATTTAGGAGGAATCAAGCACACTAGTGCCTAGGCAGCAAGCTTCATCTGCCCACTGACATTGGTCTTGGCAGCAGACCTGAAAGTTACCCTGTAAATTGGCTCCAACCCTTCTGCTACCCAGCCATGGGCCCAGTTTATTACTGCTTGCACAAGGACCCAGAAGAAGATTTACCCATATCCCACAACCCAGGAATGATTTGTCTGTCTGAGCCTCCTTGAAGGACCTGTCAGCCTTTGTCCCAAAGCAGGTCCTAAAGGATCCCACTCTCTACTCTAGCCTCTCTCACTACAGTCAGGGAAATGCCCCACCTGTGCAGGGAGCTTCTAGGGGAAGCTTGCCTGCCTGGGCTACCCTGGTGGGTTTGCCAGCCTCTGTCCCACAGCAGTGAAGGGGCCCAGACTCGGCTCCAGCCCCTCTCCCTGCAGTTGGTAAACTGTCCCATCCATGCAGGAAATTACTGGGAAGCATGGATGTAGGCCACTGGTGCAAGCTCACCAGCCTCCATCCTACAGCAGAGTGTAAGGGGTCCCAGTCTCAGCTCCAGTTCCTTTTGCTACAGTTGGGGAACTATCCCATCTGTGCAGGGAATTGCGGGGAAACATGCATCTGTCTAAGCAAATGGGACAGGCTTCCAGGTTCGGGTCGTTGGCCAACTTCCTCACAGTCAGGGTACCCCTACCTTGAGTCATCATTAGGTATATCCTGGCTGGAGCACCATGTCATCTTCGTGGTAAAAATGGGCTTAAGGCGCCCTCTACCGCTGAAATGGCTGCAGCAGTCACAGGCTTGACAACAGCCAGTCTTAGATCTCTAGATAGGCCCACTGAAGGATGGGCACAAAGTCACACTGCAAAGACTTGAATAAATAACTAATTCGTTAATAAGCAGACATCAGTGTACATCCACAAGCATTCAGAACAATCAGGGAACTATGACCTCACCAAAGAGACAAAATAAGGTACCAATAACAGACCCTAAAAAGATGGAGATGTGTGATCTGTCAGAATAAAAATCAAACTAGCTGTGTTAAGGATCATCAGTGAACTTCAAGAAAATACAGATAAACAATTCAGAAATTTATCAGAAAAATTTAAGAGAGACGCTGGAAAAAAAAAAAAAAATTCCCTAGCTAGAATGTGCAGTGAAAGCAGTGAAAAATGCAATAGAGCTTCAACAACAGAATTAACCAAGCGAAGAAACGATGAGTGAGCTCAAAGGCAGGATAAGTGAAAAATATACAGGTAGAGAAGAAAAAAAAAAAGACTAAAGAGGAATGAAGAAAGCTTACAAGATCTATGGGATAGCATCAAAAGAGAAAATGTTCGAGTAATTGGAGTTCAAGAGGGAATAAAGAAAGACAAATGGGAGGAGGAGCCAAGATGGCCGAATAGGAACAGCTCCGGTCTACAGCTACCAGCGTGAGCGACGCAGAAGACGGGTGATTTCTGCATTTCCATCTGAGGTACCGGGTTCATCTCACTAGGGAGTGCCAGACAGTGGGCGCAGGCCAGTGTGTGTGCGCACCGTGCGCGAGCCGAAGCAGGGCGAGGCATTGCCTCACCTGGGAAGCGCAAGGGGTCAGGGAGTTCCCTTTCCGAGTCAAAGAAAGGGGTGACGGACGCACCTGGAAAATCGGGTCACTCCCATCCGAATATTGCGCTTTTCAGACCGGCTTAAGAAACGGCGCACCACGAGACTATATCCCACACCTGGCTCAGAGGGTCCTACGCCCACGGAATCTCGCTGATTGCTAGCACAGCAGTCTGAGATCAAACTGCAAGGCGGCAACGAGGCTGGGGGAGGGACGCCCGCCATTGCCCAGGCTTGCTTAGGTAAACAAAGCAGCCGGGAAGCTCGAACTGGGTGGAGCCCACCACAGCTCAAGGAGGCCTGCCTGCCTCTGTAGGCTCCACCTCTGGGGGCAGGGCACAGACAAACAAAAAGACAGCAGTAACCTCTGCAGACTTAAGTGTCCCTGTCTGACAGCTTTGAAGAGAGCAGTGGTTCTCCCAGCACGCAGCTGGAGATCTGAGAACGGGCAGACTGCCTCCTCAAGTGGGTCCCTGACCCCTGACCCCCGAGCAGCCTAACTGGGAGGCACCCCCCAGCAGGGGCACACTGACACCTCACACGGCAGGGTATTCCAACAGACCTGCAGCTGAGGGTCCTGTCTGTTAGAAGGAAAACTAACAAACAGAAAGGACATCTACACCGAAAACCCATCTGTACATCACCATCATCAAAGACCAAAAGTAGATAAAACCACAAAGATGGGGAAAAAACAGTACAGAAAAACTGGAAACTCTAAAAATCAGAGCGCCTCTCCTCCTCCAAAGGAACGCAGTTCCTCACCAGCAACAGAACAAAGCTGGATGGAGAATGATTTTGACGAGCTGAGAGAAGAAGGCTTCAGACGATCAAATTACTCTGAGCTACGGGAGGACATTCAAACCAAAGGCAAAGAAGTTGAAAACTTTGAAAAAAATTTAGAAGAATGTATAACTAGAATAACCAATACAGAGAAGTGCTTAAAGGAGCTGATGGAGCTGAAAACCAAGGCTCGAGAACTACGTGAAGAATGCAGAAGCCTCAGGAGCCGATGCGATCAACTGGAAGAAAGGGTATCAGCAATGGAAGATGAAATGAATGAAATGAAGGGAGAAGGGAAGTTTAGAGAAAAAAGAATAAAAAGAAATGAGCAAAGCCTCCAAGAAATATGGGACTATGTGAAAAGACCAAATCTACGTCTGATTGGTGTACCTGAAAGTGATGTGGAGAATGGAACCAAGTTGGAAAACACTCTGCAGGATATTATCCAGGAGAACTTCCCCAATCTAGCAAGGCAGGCCAACGTTCAGATTCAGGAAATACAGAGAACGCCACAAAGATACTCCTCGAGAAGAGCAACTCCAAGACACATAATTGTCAGATTCACCAAAGTTGAAATGAAGGAAAAAATGTTAAGGGCAGCCAGAGAGAAAGGTCGGGTTACCCTCAAAGGAAAGCCCATCAGACTAACAGCGGATCTCTCGGCAGAAACCCTACAAGCCAGAAGAGAGTGGGGGCCAATATTCAACATTCTTAAAGAAAAGAATTTTCAACCCAGAATTTCATATCCAGCCAAACTAAGCTTCATAAGTGAAGGAGAAATAAAATACTTTATAGACAAGCAAATGCTGAGAGATTTTGTCACCACCAGGCCTGCCCTAAAAGAGCTCCTGAAGGAAGCGCTAAACATGGAAAGGAACAACCGGTACCAGCCGCTGCAAAATCATGCCAAAATGTAAAGACCATCGAGACTAGGAAGAAACTGCATCAACTAATGAGCAAAATCACCAGCTAACATCATAATGACAGGATCAAATTCACACATAACAATATTAACTTTAAATATAAATGGACTAAATTCTGCAATTAAAAGACACAGACTGGCAAGTTGGATAAAGAGTCAAGACCCATCAGTGTGCTGTATTCAGGAAACCCATCTCACGTGCAGAGACACACATAGGCTCAAAATAAAAGGATGGAGGAAGATCTACCAAGCCAATGGAAAACAAAAAAAGGCAGGGGTTGCAATCCTAGTCTCTGATAAAACAGACTTTAAACCAACAAAGATCAAAAGAGACAAAGAAGGCCATTACATAATGGTAAAGGGATCAATTCAACAAGAGGAGCTAACTATCCTAAATATTTATGCACCCAATACAGGAGCACCCAGATTCATAAAGCAAGTCCTCAGTGACCTACAAAGAGACTTAGACTCCCACACATTAATAATGGGAGACTTTAACACCCCACTGTCAACATTAGACAGATCAACGAGACAGAAAGTCAACAAGGATACCCAGGAATTGAACTCAGCTCTGCACCAAGCAGACCTAATAGACATCTACAGAACTCTCCACCCCAAATCAACAGAATATACATTTTTTTCAGCACCACACCACACCTATTCCAAAATTGACCACATAGTTGGAAGTAAAGCTCTCCTCAGCAAATGTAAAAGAACAGAAATTATAACAAACTATCTCTCAGACCACAGTGCAATCAAACTAGAACTCAGGATTAAGAATCTCACTCAAAGCCGCTCAACTACATGGAAACTGAACAACCTGCTCCTGAATGACTACTGGGTACATAACGAAATGAAGGCAGAAATAAAGATGTTCTTTGAAACCAACGAGAACAAAGACACAACATACCAGAATCTCTGGGACGCATTCAAAGCAGTGTGTAGAGGAAAATTTATAGCACTGAATGCCCACAAGAGAAAGCAGGAAAGATCCAAAATTGACACCCTAACATCACAATTAAAAGAACTAGAAAAGCAAGAGCAAACACATTCAAAAGCTAGCAGAAGGCAAGAAATAACTAAAATCAGAGCAGAACTGAAGGAAATAGAGACACAAAAAACCCTTCAAAAAATCAATGAATCCAGGAGCTGGTTTTTTGAAAGGATCAACAAAATTGATAGACTGCTAGCAAGACTAATAAAGAAAAAAAGAGAGAAGAATCAAATAGACACAATAAAAAATGATAAAGGGGATATCACCACCGATCCCACAGAAATACAAACTACCATCAGAGAATACTACAAACACCTCTACGCAAATAAACTAGAAAATCTAGAAGAAATGGATACATTCCTCGACACATACACTCTCCCAAGACTAAACCAGGAAGAAGTTGAATCTCTGAATAGACCAATAACAGGCTCTGAAATTGTGGCAATAATCAATAGTTTACCAACCAAAAAGAGTCCAGGACCAGATGGATTCACAGCCGAATTCTACCAGAGGTACAAGGAGGAACTGGTACCATTCCTTCTGAAACTATTCCAATCAATAGAAAAAGAGGGAATCCTCCCTAACTCATTTTATGAGGCCACCATCATTCTGATACCAAAGCCGGGCAGAGACACAATCAAAAAAGAGAATTTTAGACCAATATCCTTGATGAACATTGATGCAAAAATCCTCAATAAAATACTGGCAAACCGAATCCAGCAGCACATCAAAAAGCTTATCCACCATGATCAAGTGGGCTTCATCCCTGGGATGCAAGGCTGGTTCAATATACGCAAATCAATAAATGTAATCCAGCATATAAACAGAGCCAAAGACAAAAACCACATGATTATCTCAATAGATGCAGAAAAAGCCTTTGACAAAATTCAACAACCCTTCATGCTAAAAACTCTCAATAAATTAGGTATTGATGGGACGTATTTCAAAATAATAAGAGCTATCTATGACAAACCCACAGCCAATATCATACTGAATGGGCAAAAACTGGAAGCATTCCCTTTGAAAACTGGCACAAGACAGGGATGCCCTCTCTCACCGCTCCTATTCAACATAGTGTTGGAAGTTCTGGCCAGGGCAATCAGGCAGAAGAAGGAAATAAAGGGTATTCAATTAGGAAAAGAGGAAGTCAAATTGTCCCTGTTTGCAGATGACATGATTGTTTATCTAGAAAACACCATCGTCTCAGCCCAAAATCTCCTTAAGCTGATAAGCAACTTCAGCAAAGTCTC
Organism: Homo sapiens; assembly: GCF_000001405.40. NCBI lineage: Eukaryota > Metazoa > Chordata > Mammalia > Primates > Hominidae > Homo > Homo sapiens. The sequence continues at coordinate 69,775,269 of NC_000012.12, read as the reverse complement.
AGGATACAAAATCAATGTACAAAAATCACAAGCATTCTTATACACCAACAACAGACAAACAGAGAGCCAAATCATGGGTGAACTCCCATTCACAATTGCTTCAAAGAGAATAAAATACCTAGGAATCCAACTTACAAGGGATGTGAAGGACCTCTTCAAGGAGAACTACAAACCACTGCTCAAGGAAATAAAAGAGAACACAAACAAATGGAAGAACATTCCATCTCATGGGTAGGAAGAATCAATATCATGAAAATGGCCATACTGCCCAAGGTAATTTACAGATTCAATGCCATCCCCATCAAGCTACCAATGACTTTCTTCACAGAATTGGAAAAAACTACTTTAAAGTTCATATGGAACCAAAAAAGAGCCCGCATTGCCAAGTCAATCCTAAGCCAAAAGAACAAAGCTGGAGGCATCACACTACCTGACTTCAAACTATACTACAAGGCTACAGTAACCAAAACAGCATGGTACTGGTACCAAAACAGAGATATAGATCAATGGAACAGAACAGAGCCCTCAGAAATAATGCCACATATCTACAACTATCTGATCTTTGACAAACCTGAGAAAAACAAGCAATGGGGAAAGGATTCCCTATTTAATAAATGGTGCTGGGAAAACTGGCTAGCCATATGTAGAAAGCTGAAACTGGATCCCTTCCTTACACCTTATACAAAAATCAATTCAAGATGGATTAAAGATTTAAACGTTAAACCTAAAACCATAAAAACCCTAGAAGAAAACCTAGGCATTACCATTCAGGACATAGGCGTGGGCAAGGACTTCATGTCCAAAACACCAAAAGCAATGGCAACAAAAGACAAAATTGACAAATGGGATCTAATTAAACTAAAGAGCTTCTGCACAGCAAAAGAAACTACCATCAGAGTGAACAGGCAACCTACAACATGGGAGAAAATTTTCGCAACCTACTCATCTGACAAAGGGCTAATATCCAGAATCTACAATGAACTCAAACAAATTTACAAGAAAAAAACAAACAACCCCATCAAAAAGTGGGCAAAGGACATGAACAGACACTTCTCAAAAGAAGACATTTATGCAGCCAAAAAACACATGAAGAAATGCTCATCATCACTGGCCATCAGAGAAATGCAAATCAAAACCACTATGAGATATCATCTCACACCAGTTAGAATGGCAATCATTAAAAAGTCAGGAAACAACAGGTGCTGGAGAGGATGCGGAGAAATAGGAACACTTTTACACTGTTGGTGGGACTGTAAACTAGTTCAACCATTGTGGAAGTCAGTGTGGCGATTCCTCAGGGATCTAGAACTAGAAATACCATTTGACCCAGCCATCCCATTACTGGGTATATACCCAAATGAGTATAAATCATGCTGCTATAAAGACACATGCACACGTATGTTTATTGCGGCACTATTCACAATAGCAAAGACTTGGAACCAACCCAAATGTCCAACAATGATAGACTGGATTAAGAAAATGTGGCACATATACACCATGGAATACTATGCAGCCATAAAATATGATGAGTTCATATCCTTTGTAGGGACATGGATGAAATTGGAAACCATCATTCTCAGTAAACTATCACAAGAACAAAAAACCAAACACCGCATATTCTCACTCATAGGTGGGAATTGAACAATGAGATCACATGGACACAGGAAGGGGAATATCACACTCTGGGGACTGTGGTGGGGTCGGGGGAGGGGGAAGGGATAGCATTGGGAGATATACCTAATGCTAGATGACACATTAGTGGGTGCAGCACACCAGCATGGCACATGTATACATATGTAACTAACCTGCACAATGTGCACATGTACCCTAAAACTTAGAGTATAATAAAAAAAAAAAAAAAAAAAAAAAAGAAAGACAAATGGGTAGAAGGCGTATCCAAAAAAATAATAACAGAACATTTTCAAAACCTGAAGAAAAATAAAATCCAGATAAAGGAAAGTCAAAGATCACTAATCATATTCAACCTAAATAAGACTACCCCAAGGCATATTATAATCAAGCTCTCAAAGATCAAAGACAAGGAGGGGATTCTGAAAGCAGCAAGAGAAAAGAAGCAAGTTAACATACAAAAGAATTCCAATATGCCTGGCACCAAACTTCTCAGCAAGAACCTTGCAGATCAGGAGGAAGTAGGAGAATATATTCAGAAAGCTGAAGGAAAAAACAAACAAAAACACCAAGAATACTGTACCCAGCAAAGCCATCTTTCAGAAATGAAGATTAAAAGTTTCCCAGAAAAACAAAAGCTGAAGGAATTCAATACCATCAGAATTATCTTACAAGAAATGCTAAAGGGATTTCTTCAATCTGAAAGAAAAGAATGCTAACATGTAACAAAGAAACTCCTGAAGGTATAAAAATTACTGGCACAAGTCAGTAAACAGACAAATTCAGAATACTCTAATATTGTAATAGTAGTATATTAACCACTCCTATCTTTAGTTATTAAGACTAAAAGACAAAACTATTAAAAATAAGAACTGTAATACTTTGTTAAGAGAGAGACAATACACAAAGATATAAATTGTAACATCAAAAATTCAAAATGTGGGAAAAGAATGGAGTTACAGTGTACGTTTTCTTTCTTTTCTTTGAGATCAAAATTAAGTTGTTAGCAGTTTAAAATAACTGGTTATGTTTTTTGTAAGCCTCATGGTAACCACAAAGCAAAATCCTACAATAGATACACTAAAAGTAAAAGGCAAGGTGTCAAAACATATTACTAGAGAAAATCACTTAACCACAAAGGAAGACAGTCAGAGTGGAAGGAAGGATCTACAAAACAACTATAAAAGAAGTACCAAAATTGCAGTAGTATGTCTTTACTTATTAATAATTATGTTGAATGTAAACAGATTAAAATCTCCAATAAGAGACGGAGTGACTGAATGAATTTAAAAAACAAGACCCAACTCCATGCTGCCTGCCTACAAGAGACTCAAATCCTCTGTAAGGACATACAGAGACTGAAAGGGAAAACATTCAATGCAAATTGAAAAACAAGAGAAAGCAGGAGTAGCTACCTATACTTATATTAGATAAAACAGACTTTAAGCCAAAAATTGTAAGAAGAAACAAGAGTATTATGTAATGATAAGGGGGCCAATAAAGAGGATATAATAATTGTAAATATATATGCACCTTACATTGGAGCAAATATTAATAGACATAAAAGGATAGACTGTCATACAATAACAGTAAGGAAATTCAGTACTCACTCACTCCCAGAAACGGAAACAACTCAATGGCAAAAATACAAATAACATAATTTTAAAATGGGCAAAAGACCTGAATAAACATTTCTCAGAAGACATACAAATGGCCAACAGGTATATGAAAAAATGCTCAGCATCATTAATAATTAAGGGACTACAAATCAAAACCACCATGAGGTATCATCTCAACCCACTTAGAATGGCTATCATCAAAATGATGAAAAATAACAAACACTGAGGAGGATGTGGAGAAAGGAAATCTTTCATACAGTGTTGGTGGTAATATAAATTAGTACAGCCATTACAGACAACAGTATGGAGGTTCTCCCAAAAATTAAAAATAGAATATCCAGCAATTCCACTACTGGGAATAAAATTCACAGAAAAGTAAATCAGTATGTCAAAGAGACAGCTGCACTCCCAAGTTTACCGCAGCACTATTCTCAAAAGCTAAGACATGGAATTAACCTAAGTGTTCATCAGTGAATGAACTTTTTTTTTTTTTTGGAGACAGGGTCTCACTCTGTCACCCAGGCTGGAGTGCAGTGACATGATCACAGCTCACTGCAGCCTCAACCACAGAAGCTCAAGCAATCCTCCCACCTCAGCTTTCCAAGTAGCTGGGAACACAGGCATGCACCACCATGTCTGATTAATTTATTTTTTGCAGAAATGGCATCTCGCTATGTTGCCTAGGCTGGTCTTGAAGGCCTGTGGTCAAGCCATCCTCCCACTTTGGCCTTCCAAAGTGCTGGGATTACAGGCATAAGCCACTACGCCCTGCTGGATTATTTTAAATGCAGTGTATATACAAAATGAAATACTATTCAGCCATAAACAAGAATGAAATCCTGTCATTTGTCACAATATGGGTAAGCCTAGAGGACATCATGTTAAGTGAAATAAACCAAGTACAGAAGGACAAATATTGCATGATCTCACTCATATGTGAAATCTAAAAAATTTGATCTCATAGAAGTAGAGCAGAGAATAGCGGTTATCAAAAGCTGGGAAGAGTAGGGAGGAGTAGAATGAGGAGAGGTTGGTAAAACAGATGAGAAGTTAGTTTAAATGGGAGAAATAAGTTCTGGTGTTCTATTGCACAGCAGGGTCAACAGTTAATAATCTATTATATATTGCAAAATAGAAGAGATTTTTAATGTCTCATCACAAAGAAACAATAAATATTTGAGGTGATGGCAATGCTAATTAGTCTGATTTGATCATTATACAATGTGTGTGTGTATATATGTATATGTGTATGTGTAAATATACACCATACTGTGTTGCATAAATATATAAAATTACTACCTGTCAGTTAAAAATCAAACTTTTTTTTAAATGGTAACTTGGACATTATGGCTAGGTTAAAAAAAAGACTGGAAAGAAACAAAACTAATCACTGCAGTATTTCAAGCAAGAGATATGGATTCAGAGTGGTAATACTGGAGACAAGAAATTTGAGAGATACAGTTGGCCCTCTGTGTACACAGGTTCTGCATCAGCAGGTTCCATCTGCATATTCACCAAACCACAGATCAAAATGTTGAGAAAAAACAATAAAAATACAAATTTGTATAAGACAATACAGTATAACAACTATTTACACAGCATTTATATTATATTAGGTATTATAAGTAATGTAGAGATGATTTAAAGTATACAGGAGAATGTGCATAGGTTATATGCAAACACTATGCAATTGAGGATCTATCGATTTTGGAATCCCCGGCAGGGTGGGGGGGCGGATTTGGAGGACTGGAACAAAACCCCCAGTGGATACCAAGGGATGAGTATATTTACAACTCTATAATCAAGTGTATTTCATCAAATCCAAGACTTCATCATTTTTTAGAAAAAATTTTAGACATTAAAAATATGTTATTAATGAATCTATAATGTTCTTTTTTCCAACTGGAATTTTTATTTTAAACTTATAGGAAGACTCTCTTAAACTGATGAAGACATAGACTTTTATCATATGTAACTGTGCTTTTTTGTGCCTTTCTGTTTTGATGTCATATCACAGTGAGATCCTTTTGAAGATATTTAATTCGGTAATTAAGATCACAAATACGGAACCCAACTCACATAATTCAATTAAATTTATAACACAGCTATGACAAGTTCACACACAAGAAGGCAATGATAAATGTCATGATTAATGTCTAGCTGACTATAATTTTGACTTTTACTGATTTCAGAGATGTTAGTTGAAAAAAATGTACAACTCAGAATCAATGAAACATCACCATAAAATACATGCTACTTCTCCCCAACTAGTAAACTCCTTAAAGAGAGACATATCTATATTATTTTTGCCCCCTACACAACCTACTGTAATGCTGTTGAGTACTTTGGTTATTCAATAAATATTTGTTTCTGGTTTTCTGCTTCCCCATGATGGTAGATTAGAGGATTTGGGCATGCCTTGGCCACTTGGAAGTCACAAGATAAGGCATAAAAGGAAAACAGCAATCCACCAGAATCACAAAAGACACCCCAGATACCAGGGAGGAGAATGCTGACAAACAGCCCCCGTGATAGTGTCTGGCTGATAAAAGTGAGTGAAGTCCCAGTAGGTGAGAGAGGCAGAGAACTTCCCTCTGTGATTCACCTGTCCACTGGGGTTCCCTATCCTGGCTGAAGGAGAGCACTTTGTTTCTCCCAATCCCTGGAGTTAACTTGGAGAGAGGCTTGGAGATGCTATGAAGGAAAGACACTGGGAAAAGCTGCAGACATGTTCCCAAATCCAGGACCAAAAGCAGAATGCCATTTTTAATCTGGGCACGTATTAGTCTGTTTTCATGCTGCTGATAAAGACATACCCAAGACTGGGCAATTTATGAAAGAAAGAGGTTTAACGGACTTACAGTTCCCACATTGCTGAGGAGGCTTACAATCACGGCAGAAGGCGAAATACACATCTAACATGGTGGCAGACAACAGAAGAGAGATTGAGCAGGGAAACTACCCCCCATAAAACCATCAGACCTCATACTTATTCAGTATCAGGAGAACAGCCCAGGAAAGACCTGACCCCATGATTCAATTACCTCCCACAGGGTCCCTCCCACAACACATGGGAATTCAAGATGAGATTTGGGTGGGGACACAGCCAAACCCTATCAGGGTACATACGAAGTCAGCCATTCTTTGACAACCTGGCAACATGGCCATTCATGCATTTTAGTCTTAGGACAGAGATTGGAGCACCTGTTTTAGAGTGAGGTCAGGGCCTCCACAAGCAGAACTGTGGAAAGTACTGGAGTAGTAGACACTGGAATTGTACTCTTCCCTGTCACAGGGTTGGGGCAGGAGGAGAACTATTACCACAGCAGTTTCTCCTGGGCAGCAAGGCTTGCAGCCAGGGCCAGTTTGGCAACATGAACTGATCTGCGTGAGACACTGCTGGGTGCCTCAGTCTGTTCCTGAGATCGCGGTGCAGTGGAGTCCTCTCACTCCACCCCAGGGAGAAATCCAGGCATTCAGAGCACCCACCTGCCTGGCCCAGCAGCCTGAGCAGCCCCACCTTTCCTGGGCATACACTGTAGCATAGCAGGGCCTTCTCTGCTCCATTCCCAGGAAGATCTCCAAGCATTTGGAGCACCTACTTTTCTTGACCAGCAGCCTGCACCACCTCACCCGTCATGGACATAGATTGTGGTGCAGCAGAGCTCTCTCCACTCCATATCCAGGCAGATCTCCAGGTATTTGGAGCACCCACTCACCTGAATCAGTAGCCTGAACCACCCTACCCTTTCCTGGACATAGACTGTGGTACAGCAAGACCCTCTCTGGTCCATGCCCAGGCAGATCTCCAGGCATTCAGAGTGCCTGTGCATCTGGTTCAGCAGGCTGAGCTGGCACCATCCTTACTGGATGCAGATCACGGTACAGTGAGGTCCTCTCCACTACACACCCAAGCAGATCTGCAGACATTCAGGGAACCAGCTTGCTGGATCAGAAGCTTGAGCTGCTCCACCACCCTTCCTGTGCAGATATCCTGGTGGAGGGGTTCCCTTTCTGTTAAATGCCCAAGCAGATCTCCAGGCATTCAAAGCACCTGTTTGTCTGGTTCAGGAGCATGAGTAACCTCACCCCTCTTGTGCAGAAATCTTGGTGAAAGGGGGTCTTCTCCACTTCACACTGAGGCAGATCTCCAGGCATTCAGAGATCCCACTCACCTGAATCAGCAGTCTGAGCCACCCCAACCTTCCTGTGCAGAGATCCTGGGGCAGGCAGGTTCTGTCACATGCCCAGGCAGATCTCCAGGCATTCAAAGCACCTGTATGCTTGGTTTGGCAGCCTGAGTTGCCTCACTCCTCCTGTGCAGAGGCCTTGGTATAGGGGGGTCCTCTCTGCTCCACGCCCAGGCAGACCTCCAGGCACCTGGAGCACCAACTCTCTTAGATCAAGAATTTAGGCTACTCCGACTCCCATGCAGAGAACTTAGGGCTGAAGGGGATTCCCAGCTCCATGCCTAGGCACACTTCTGGGTACTTGGTGGCCGCCCATTGGATTCACCGTCAGCACTGGTGTTTGTGCTTGCCATGAGTGAACCTTTGGCAGATTTGCCCAGTCGTTCTCACCAATCATGGCCCCATCCCCCTGGAGCTGAGCAGGGAGCTCAGACCACTGCCTGAGGCAACAGAGTTTCTACCATTAAACAAGTATATACCCAGCAGCATTGGCTACAGCTGACTCTTATCAATAAGCATGGCCTACTGACTTGTAGGTCAAATGCACAGCCCAATATAAAACCTGCTGAAAGAAGTGCACAGAACTATAGAAGCAAAACCAAAAGATCCTACCCAGAATTCTCTACAGTCACACCCCAATAGGGAGGAAAAGAAAGGAAAAGAAAAAAACAATTATAGGGAAGAAAAAAAATCCTACTCACATGAAATTAATTACAAAAATTAGAAGTGCAATCATCTCCAGATGAGGAGAAACCAGTGGAAGAATTCTGGCATGATGAAAAATCTAAATGTAGTAACACCACCAAGGGATAGCACTAGCTCTCCAGCAACAGTTCTTAACTAAAATGTGAACTCAGAAATGACAGATAAAGAATTCAAAACATGAATTGCAAGGAAGATCAATGAGATCCAAGACAGAGTTGACAATCAACATAGAAGAAACTTCTAAAGCAATCCAGGAAATAAAAGAAGAAATAAACATATTCAAAAGAAATCAGAGGTTCTGCACCGGGCATGGTGGCTCATGCCTGTAATCCCAGCACTTTGGGAGGCCGAAGTGGGTGGATCACCTGAGGTCAGGAGTTCAAGACCAGCCTGGCCAACATGGTGAAACCCCATCTCAACTGAAAATACAAAAAAAAAATAGCTGGGCATGGTGGCAGGCGCCTGTAATCCCAGCTACTTCGGGAGACTGAGGCAGGAGAATCACTTGAACCTGGGAAGCGGAGGTTGCAGTGAGCCGAGATGGTGCCATTGCACTCCAGCCTGGGTGACAAGAGTGAAACTGTCTTAAAAAAAAAAAGAAAAGAAAAGAAAAAGAAATCAGAGTTTCTGGAACCAAAAAACTGACGTAAGGAATTTGAAAATACAATTGAAAGCTTTAGCAACAGATGGGACCGAACAGAAAAAAGAATTTCAGGGCTTGAAAAATGGTCTTTGGAATTAACCTGGTCAAACAAAAATAAAGAGAAAATAATTTTAAAAAATGAACAAAGTCGTTGAGAAATATGGGATTACATAAAAGAAACAAACCTATGAATTATTGGCATTCCTAAGAAGAAGAAAAAGTAAACAACCTGGAAAACATATTTGAGGGAGTAATTCAAGAAAATTTCCCTAACCTTGCTAGAAAGGTAAACACCCAGATACAAAAAATCTAGAGAACTGCAAGATACTATCCAAAATGAAGATCGTCACAGGACATAGTCACCAGACTGTCCAAGGTCAATGCAAAACACAACAAAACAAACAAAAATACTTAAAGGCTGAGAAAAAGGTTAGATTACATAATCACATACAAATGGAGCCATACCAGGCTTTGGACTTCTCAGCAGAAACCTTACAAGCCAGGATAGATTGGGGACCTATTTCCAGCATTCTGAAAGAAAAGAAATTCTAACCAAGAATTTCATATCCTGTCAAACTAAGCTTCATAAGCAAAGGAGAAATAAAATATTTTCCAGACAAGCAACTGCTAAGGGAATTCATTACCACTAGACTAGCCTTACAAGATACCCTTAAGAGAGTTCTAAACATAGAAACAAAAGAATGATACCTGCTACCACAAAAATTAGAGATCCTCTCTGCCACATGCCCAGGCAGATCTCCATGCATTCAAAGCACCTGCATGCTTCGTTCGGCAGCCTGAGTTGCCTCACTCCTCCTGTGCAGAGGCTTTGATATAGGCGGGTCCTCTCTGCTCCATGCTCAGGCAGACCTCCTGGTCACACTTAAGTACACAGGCCAATATCCCTGGTGAACACAGATTCAAAAATCCTCAACAAAATACTACCAAACTGATTCCAACAGCACATCAAAAAGTTAATTCATTATGATCAAGTAGGCTTTATTCCTGGGATGCAAGACTGGTTCAATATACACAAGTCAATAAATGTGATTCACAACATAAATAGAATTAAAAACAAAAGCCATACGATCATCTCAACAGAGGTGGAAAAAGCTTTCAATAAGATCCAACATCCTTTCACGATAAAAACGCTAAAGAAATTAGGCATCAAAGAAATGTACCTCAAAATAATAAGAGCCATCTATGACAAACCCACAGCCAACATCATACTGAATGGACAAAAATTGGAAGGCTTCCCCAAGAACTGGAACAAGACGACGATGCCCACTCTCACCATTCCTATTCAACATAGTACTGGAAGTGTTAGCCAGAGGAATCCAGCAAGAGAAAAAAGTAAAAGGCAACCAAACATGAAAAGAAAAAGTCAAATTACCTCTCCTACAGACTATATGATTTTATACCTGAAGAACCATAAAGACTCTTCCAAAAGGTTCCTGGAACTGATAAATGACTCCAGTAAAGTTTCCAGATACAAAGTCAATGTACAAAATTCAGCAGCATTTGTATACACCAATAACATTCAAGGTGAGAGCAAATCAAGAACACAATCTCATTTACAATAACCACACACACACACAAATACCTAGGAATACATCCAACCAAGGGGGTGAAAGATCTCTACAAAGAGAACTATAAAATACCGTTAAATCATAAATAACACAAAGAAATTTTAAAAATATTTCATGCTCATGGACTGGAAGAATCAACATTGTTAAAATGGCCATACTGCCCAAAGCAATCTACAGATTCAACGGTATTCCTATCAAACTACCAATGTTGTTTTTCACAGAACTAAAAAAAAAAAAAGTATTTAAAAACTCATATGGAACCACACAAGGGCCTGAATGGCCAAAGCAATCCTTTGAAAAAAGAAGTCAGAGGTACCATATTACTTGACTTCAATCTATTTTATAAGGTTACAGTAATCAAAACAGCATGGTGCTGGTACAAAAACAGACACATAGACTAATGGAACAAAATACAGAACCCAGAAATAAAGCCCTGGACCTACAGCCATCTGATCTTTGACAAAAATCAACAAAAATAAGCAATGAGGAAATGACTCCTTATTCAACAAATGGTGCTAGGATAGCTGGCTAGGCATATGCAGAAGAATGAAACTGGAATACCCATCCCCCTTCACCATATACAAAAATTAAGATAGATTAAAGATTTCAATGTAAGAAATCTTTGCCATAAGAATCCTAGAAAACAACCTAGGAATAAGCCATAAGAATCCATAAGCCATAAGAATCCTAGAAAAAAACCTAGGAAACACCATTCTGGACATCAGCCTTGGGAAAGAATTACCACCATTCAACTCAGCAATCCCATTACTGGGTATATATCCAAAAGAAAATAAACTGTTCTCCCAAAAAGACACATGCACTCACATGTTCATCCCAGCACTATGCACAATAGCAAAGACATGGAATCAACCTAGATGCTCATCAACAGTGGATCAGATAAAGAAAATGTAGTGCATATACACCAAGGAATATTATATAGCCATTAAAAAAGAACAAAATAAATTCCTCTGCAGCAACACTGATGCAGCTGGAGGCTATTATCCTAAGCAAATTAACATAGGAACAGAACACCAAGTATTGCATTTTTTTCACTTATAAGTGGGAGCTAAACATTGTACTCATGGACCTAAAGATGGGAAAAATAGAAACTGGGGACTACTAGACAGGGGAGGGGGACAAGGGCTGACAAACTAACAATTGGGTACTATGCTCAGTACCAGGGTGACAGGATTATTCATAACCTAAACCACAGAACTATACAATATATCCAGGTAATATACCTGCACATATACCCCCTAAATTTAAAATAAAAGTTGAAGAAAAAAAAATTTTAACAAGTGAGATCAAGATCCTGAAGCATTTTCAAAGAATTATAATAGGAGATGAAACATAACTTTTCCTGTATGATGCTGAAGACAAAGTACAATCAAAGCAATGGCTACCAAGAGGTGGAAGTGGTCCAGTCAAAGCAAAAGTGGACTGATCAAGAGCAAGGGTCATGGCAACAATTTTTTACATGCTCAAGGCATTTTGCTGGTTGATTTTCTGGAGGGCCAAAGAATGGTTAACAACTGCTTACTATCAGAGTGTTTTGAGAAAGTTAGTCACAGTTTTAGCAGAAAGATGCCCAAGAGAGCTTCACCAGAGTCGTTCTCCACCACAACAATGTTCCTGCTCATTCCTCTCATCAAGGGCAATTTTGTGAGAGTTTCCATGAAAAATCATTAGGCATACACCTTGCAATCCTTATTTGGCTCCTTCAGAATTCTTTGTTCACAATCTTAAAAAAATATTTAAAAAGCATCCATTTTTCTTCAGCTAATAATGTAAAAAAGACTGCATTGACATGGTTAAATTCCCAGCACCCTCAGTTCTTTAAGGATGAACTAAATGGCTGGTTATCATCCCTTATAAAAGTGTCTTCAACTTGACGGAGCTTATGTTGAGAAGCAAAATAAAATTTATAGTTTTATCTCATAAAAAAATATTTGTTAATGTTTACAAATGTCTTTGGCTACAGTTAGTAGAACCAATACTGAATAGGGTTAGTGCAAGTATGTGATTTTCAATGACTCTCTTTGCAAGCTATCCTACTGGGCTTTATTTTCTAAGTCATTTCATTTTCTTTTTCTTTTTCTCTTTTTCTCTTTTTTCTTTTTTTTTTTTTTTTTTTTTTTGAGACGGAGTCTCCCTCTGTTGCCTAGGCTGGAGTGCAGTGGCGCAATCTCAGCTCACTGCAAGCTCCACCTCCTGGGTTCACGCCAGTCTCCTGCCTCAGCCTCCCAAGCAGCTGGGACTACAGGCGTCTGCCACCACACCTGGCTAATTTTTTGTATTTTTAGTAGAGAAGCGGTTTCACCGTGTTAGCCAGGATGGTCTCGATCTCCTAACCTGGTGATCTGCCCGCCTCGGCCTCCCAAAGTGCTGGGACTACAGGCGTGAGCCACTTCGCCCAGCTCATTTTCTTTTAAGAAAAATAAAAGTTTAAAATAACCTCTTACAGCAGATTTCACCTTTTAGTGAATGTAAGAATCAACAAGTTTGATGAAAATGCATATTCCCAAACCTCAACACAATAATTTGATTTCAGCAGATCTGGAGTAGAGTGCAAGGATCTATACTTAATAAGAATGCACTAAAGCCCAATTTCCTCCTGAGAATTCCACTAAAAGCTGCTCTTCAGAAATATCCTATGGAAGGCCAAACAGCTAAATGACTACATCATAATCTCTGGCATCCCTGCACCTGAAAATAAGTGACCACATGATTGGTCCCCCTACACACACAGTATGGATTTGTTGCTGGGAAGTGGTTGTCCATCCAGGGATTACATTACCCAGCCCACCATACATCTAGGTATTGGCATGAAAGGTTCACACCAATAGAATGTGAGCAAAAGTGATGTGTATCATATCTAAGCCAAGGTTTTTTAGAAGAAGCTGTACCTTCTCTAAGCTGTCTTTCCCTTTTGTCTCATTGGTTAGATACAAATAACAATAAAACCCTAAGAAATTACAAAGGCCCCAAACAGAAGAGAAACAGATCTCTGAATTATTTCACAGAGAACTGCCTACCAACTATGAACATCTGCTTCAGAGTGTTAAATGAATAAAAATGAACTTCTATTAGGTAAAGTCACGAAAATTTGGGGGTTACTTATAAGCATCACCCTAATATATCAGGCATGTGTGTATACAAACACTTGTATAACCGCATATACATGTATATATTCATTTAATCAACAAAATGTATTGAAAACCCATTATATGCTCAAGATATAATCATGAGCACAAACATATGCAATCCTTATCCTCATGAATCTCAGAAGTACTGAAGCATGTGTGTATAAATGCAGGTTTTTCTATGTGGATTACTTGAATGGGGTAGACAATGAAGTAATATAAATGAGTAAGTAGAACTTTCACTTCCAATTAAGATAGAGGAACAGGGATTAGATTTACCACCCATCTGACACAACTAAAACTCTGAAAAAATATATGGATCAACAATTTGAAGCATTTGATATTAGGCAATAAAAGACAGTGATCCCCTAGAAATGAAAAACAAAATGTGCACCCCAGATCTGCCCCAGCTTATTATCTGAAGAGATGAAATAATTAGAAACAAAACATTTATTAAACTGCATCCCAACATATTAAGCAGAGCAAGCAAAGTATAAAAAAGATCCAAATCAAACTTTCAGAGATGAAAACTACAATGTCTAGTTTAAAAACATACTGTATGGGATTAACAGATTAGATATTTCAGAAGAAAAGAGTAGTGACTTTGAAGACATAGCAATAGAAACTACCCACAATGAAACACAGTGAGGAAAAAAAGATTTTTAAATGAAAGACTGTAACACCAGCAAGCTGTGAGATAAGTTTAAGCAGTCTAATGTACATGTAATAGGAATCCAGAGGAAAGGAGAGAGAGAGGAAGAATGGAAAACTTTTTGAAGATATAAAGGCCAAAATTTCCCAAATTTTATGAAAACTAACAACCTACAGCTTCAAGAAGCTCAATAAATCCCAAACATAAGAAAGCTGAAGAAACTACACCAAAGCAAATCACAATCACATTGCTTATGCCAGTGAGAGAGGACTCTCATAAGCAGCCAGAGAGAAAAGACCTAATACGCAGAGGAACAAAGGTAAGGGTAACAGCAGACTTCTTGTGAGAAACAATGTACATGCTTGAAAACACTGAAGCAACATCTTTACAGTAACAAAAAAAAAAAAATTATCAATCTTAAATTCTTTACTCAGTGAAAATATCTTTCAAAAACCAAAAATGAACACAGACATACAAAAGCTAAAAGAATTTATCACCATCAAACATGCACAACAAAAATGTAAAAGGATGTCCTTCAAGCCAAAGGAAAAATGATACGAGTTGGAAATCTGGATCCACATGAAGAAATGAATACCAAAGGAATGAACACACAGAGCAAGTCCCCAAACGGATCCTGAGCAAGAGGAGAGTTGGAGGCTCTCCCTCTCCCTCTCCCTCTCCCCACAGTCTCCCTCTCCCTCTCCCCACGGTCTCCCTCGCCCTCTCTTTCCACGGTCTCCCTCTGATGCCGAGCCAAAGCTGGACTGTACTGCTGCCATCTTGGCTCACTGCAACCTCCCTGCCTGATTCTCCTGCCTCAGCCTGCCGAGTGCCTGCTATTGCAGGCGCACGCCGCCACGCCTGACTGGTTTTCGTATTTTTTTGGTGGAGACGGGGTTTCGCTGTGTTGGCCGGGCTGGTCTCCAGCTCCTAACCGTGAGTGATCCGCCAGCCTCGGCCTCCCGAGGTGCCGGGATTGCAGACGGAGTCTCATTCACTCAGGGCTCAATGTTGCCCAGGCTGGAGTGCAGTGGCATGATCTCGGCTAGCTACAACCTCCACCTCCCAGCCGCCTGCCTTGGCCTCCCAAAGTGACGAGATTGCAGCCTCTGCCCGGCCGCCACCCCGTCTGGGAAGTGAGGAGCGTCTCTGCCCGGCCACCCATCGTCTGAGATGTGGGGAGCGCCTCTGTCCAGCCGCGACCCCGTCTGGGAGGTGAGGAGCGTCTCTGCCCGGCAGCCCCGTCTGAGAAGTGAGGAGCCCCTCCGCCCGGCAGCCGCCCCGTCCGGGAGGGAGGTGGGAGGTCAGCCCCCGCCCGGCCAGCCGCCCCATCCGGGAGGGAGGTGGGGGGTCAGCCCCCGCCCGGCAGCCGCCCCGTCCGGGAGGGAGGTGGGGGGTCAGCCCCTGCCCGGCCAGCCGCCCCGTCCGGGAGGTGGGGGTTCAGCCCCCGCCCAGCCAGCCGCCCCGTCCAGGAGGGAGGTGGGGGGCGCCTCCGCCCGGCCGCCGCCCCGTCCGGGAGGTCGGAGGCGCCTCTGCCCGGCCGCCCCTTCTGGGAAGTGAGGAGCTCCTCTGCCCGGCCACCACCCCGTCTGGGAGGTGTACCCAACAGCTCATTGAGAACGGGCCATGATGACGATGGCGGTTTTGTGGAATAGAAAAGGGGGAAAGGTGGGGAAAAGATAGAGAAATCAGATTGTTGCTGTGTCTGTGTAGAAAGAAGTAGACATAGGAGACTTCATTTTGTTCTGTACTAAGAAAAATTCTTCTGCCTTGGGATGCTGTTGATCTATGACCTTACCCCCAACCCTGTGCTCTCTGAAACATGTGCTGTGTCCACTCAGGGTTAAATGGATTAAGGGCGGTGCAAGATGTGCTTTGTTAAACAGATGCTTGAAGGCAGCACGCTCGTTAAGAGTCATCACCACTCCCTAATCTCAAGTACCCAGGGACACAAACACTGCGGAAGGCCGCAGGGTCCTCTGCCTAGGAAAACCAGAGACCTTTGTTCACTTGTTTATCTGCTGACCTTCCCTCCACTATTGTCCTATGACCCTGCCAAATCCCCCTCTGCGAGAAACACCCAAGAATGATCAATTAAAAAAAAAAAATCTTAGAAGTGACCAGAAGGAGGAAGAAAACCAATTATCTACAAAGGAATGACAACTACATTGACAGCTGGCTTCTCATCAACAATGATAGATGCCGGAAGACAAAGACGTAAAATTATGAAAGTGTTTGTTGAGAAAAAAAAAAACAACCATCAACCTAGAATTGTATGCCCCGTTAAACTATCATTCAAAAATAAAAGTAAAACTTGTAAAAAAAAAAAAAAAAAAAAAAAAAGGAATGAACACACAGATGCCCATGTAGCTAACATTTCTGATGTTTATCTATGTAAAGATTCTTTGTTATTATTTAAGTCTCTTTAAAAGATAATACTGTTTAATGCAAAACAATAGTGTTTTGTGGGGTTTAAACACACAAAGAAGTGAAACATACAACAATTATTGCACAAAAACTAGGAGGGGAAAAATAAAAGTATACTTTTGTAAGGTTTGTACACCAGATGTAAAGTAATATATCACCGGAAGGTAGAGAGTGATAAGTTAAATATGTCTACTATAAACGCTAAAGCAACAAAGATAAAAGCCACAGGAAGATGAAATTGTTTTAAAAATACAGAATTAATTCAAAAGAAAGGATACAAAAGGGAAAAAGGAACAAATGAGACAAACAGAAAACAAACAGTAAGATGGTAAATTTAAACCAAACTATACCATTATCCATTAAATGTAAATGGTCTAAACACCAATTAAAAGACAGAGATAATTACAAAGGATCAAAAGAACAAGACCTAACTGTACACTATCTATAAGAAACTCGTATTAAATAGGAAGACACAGTTAACCAAGTAAGTAAAAAGTATAGAAAATGGCCTCTCTTAAGATAAGACTAAAGAAAATGGCTGTTGACATAGTTTGATTCACAAGTTGTCACAATTCAGGAAGTATTTTTATATTCAAGAGTCCTTTTCAAGCCTTGAGATCTAAGTAAATATTAATACTAACTTATACTCTTCATAAAAGTCACCACATATGTGTTTACACATCACCATTTCAATTATCCAAACAGTATCTCTAAATACAGCATATTAGAGATTTCAAAGGAAATTCTCAAGTGAGCTAAGAAATTAGCAATCTGTTCTGATCAATAACCATGTGTTCTCAAAGATGGATACATATACTCAAAATTTTACCTCTATATAATGTGTGATTTTAATAAAATACTATCTATTAAGACAACAAAGTCTGAGCCAGATGACAGAAACAAAATGCAACCACATCTCACCACATCCTTTTCCTTTGGGAAGGAACTGGGGATTAAAAAAATGAATATACTACGCTCATGAGAGACAAGTATGCTAGGGAAAGAGTGGGAATACATTTGTGAAATGTCATGGTAGGTTGGATATTACACCTATAAATGTTTGCCCTACCTTCTCAATTTTCTACATGTGAATTGGTATTTCACCTAGGTTGTCAGGTTTATATATGCAGTTTTTCATATCATTCCATTATACTTTTGATATGAGTCTCCAGTGACATCCTGCATTTCACTCCTGCTACTGATAAATCTGTCTTCTTTTTGTCAGTCTTGCTAGAGGTTTGCAATTTTATTAATCTTCTTAAAGAACCAACATTTTGTCTCACTCATTTTCTCTATTTTTTCTGTTATCAATTTCATTGATTTTTGCTCTTTATTATTTCCTTCCTTCTACTTGCTCTGGTTTTATTTTGCTCTTCTTTTTACAGATTCTTAAAGTGGGAGCTTAGATTGTCCATTTGAGACTTTTCCTGTTTTCTGATGTATGCATTTCATTCTATAAATTTTCCTCTGAAATTTAACTGCAGACTCAGAAAAAGAATAAGATATGGCCACAAGTTTGGAAATAAATAGCAGAAACTTTTAAAATGACCAAATGGGAAACACAACAATTTACCAAGAAAATTCTCCAAGGTAAGATACAGAAAATATTCAAACTCAGCTTAAACTCAAAACAAAATGACTTAGACTGAGTGACTTCAAGTAAATAACCATTTAGTCAGCCATGTAGTAAGAAGGAAAAACCCTGCATGTGGAATATAGCCCACTCAATCTGCATTACAGATAATACGAGACAGGGAGCAGGCAATGCAGTGGGGCACAGAAGAGTTAACAGAGCCACATTTTTCCAGTTAGTAGTCTTAGAGGAACTTCTTTACTACCCAACCAGTTTCACGGATTCCTAAATGCTGCCTAACAGGAGCTGAGGCTGGGCATATGTGACGGATAAATGTACAACCATCATGATTTCATTTCTGCAGGTTGCCCCACCCCATGGAGAAATACTAATTTCTAATATAATATATGGAAGAATAAAATATCTTCTTTCTTACCCTCTGAGCTTTTGCGAGTTCTTCTTTTAATCGTTCATAGCCCTTTTCTCTAACTTCCAAAACAGATGGGCTTCGTAAACGAGACAGACTATCAGTACTCAACCCAAAAATATCATCACTGCCATCGCAAGCCTCTGTTATAGTAGCACCCTGTAAAAACTCTCTCTCTGCATTATAGTTGTCCTTTCTTGTAGTTAATTTAGTTAATCCAGCTGTGACTCCAGAGGTAGAGCAAGGGGCTGGGTCTGTAACATGAAAGCTGTAAAGGAGAGAGACATTTTTCAGAAAATATCAGCATATGCTCCAATAGAACTGGCTTAAACACACAGCTCTAGAACTGTACTACCCAATTTGGTAGCTTCTATATTTAAATAAATAGTATGTCCTCAGTCATATCAGCCACATTTCAAGTGCTCAATAGCTACATGTGGTTAATACCTATCATTCATATTAGATAGCACAGAAATAGAACATTTTCATCAACACAGAAAGTTCTACAGGACAGTGCTACTCAAGAGCAGGGGTTAACAAACTATAGCCTACAGGCTAAACCAAGCCTTCCACCCGTTTTTATAAGGTATCAATGAGCCAAGTATAGTTTTTACAATTTCAAATAGTTGAAAAGAAATCTTTAAAAGAATATTTTGTGACACATGAAAATTAAATGAAATTCAAAATTCTGCATCCATATATGAAGTTTTATTGGAACACAACCACTCTCATTCATTTACATACTGTCTATGGCTGCTTTCAAACTCTAAAGGCAGAGTTGAATAGTTGCAACAGAGACTGCATGGCTTGCAAAGCCTAAAATATTTACTATCTGGTCCTTCACATATAAAGTTTGTCAACCCTGTTCTAGAACATTATCAGGTCATGTATTTCTTTACCTAGGCACACTTAAGTTATTCAAATTTTCTAAAAATAGTAAAACTTAAAATATAGTAACTAAGCAAACTGTCCATTTTAAAAAAAATCAAATAAGTGATTTACTTATTTCCTACCTGATACTAGATATTTCCGCACAATTTAAACGTCTGGGGGATGAATACACGGGTTGTGTAGGAAGTTCAGAAACATCTAATGCATTTGCCTGGATAGGTACAGAGGATAAAGCTGAAGGGTGTGGCCGGTAGATGACACTTGGTGAGGTAGTCTGCTCTTGAGTTCCTGATTCATACACACCAAGAAGGTCCGGAGAAGTAGGTGAAGCAAGGTTTACTTCATGGAAGCCTTCCAAGGGATCATTAGCCATAGCAAAAGCCTCATCATAAGATAACCTATGTTAAAACAAAAAGCAGATACTTATTTTTAGATAATAACATTTAAAACTAAATTAAAATGCATAAATTATAAAATGTGTTTAACAGTCCATTGTAAATTATAAGCTTACAATAAAAGAGGCTTTTTTTAAAAAACCACAATCACATGGTGGTATATGCCTGTAGTACCAGCTACTCGGGAAGATGAGGTGGGAGGATTGCTTGAGCCCAAATGCAGGTTGCAGTGAGCCGTGATCACAACCCTGCACTCCAGCCTGGGTGACAGGGCAAGACCTTCTCCCACTCAAAAAACAAAAACAAAAACAAAACACCACAATCACTTAACATTTACTAAGCGATCTCACAGTATAACTACTACAAAAGGCAAACAATCTGATTTAGAAGAAACCTGAAAGTGATAAGCAATGCTGTTAAAGTGAGAATAATCAATTAGTATGAGGAATGAATAAAAATTGGCTTAATTTTTAAAAATATTTTAAAATTATTAAATGTTCATATTAAAATAAATTATCTCAGTATACTATTTAAATATGAAAATACTAAAAACAAAATCTAACAGTATTATGCAATCTTAGACTCAATAACAATTATATTATGCTGTGAAACTCTTAAAACAATTTTTTTAACAGAGAACATTGTATTTATCATGTACAACATGTTTGAAGGCACATACACATTGTGAAATAGCTAACTAGCTAATTAACGAATGCGTTACCTCATGCCATTATTTTGTTATGAGAAAACTCAACATTTACTCTCTGCATTTTTCAAGAATTTACAATATATCGTCAGGAACTACAGTCATCCTGCTGTACCATAGATCTCTTGAATTTATATTTAACTTTCTGATTATACATGACCTTGGTTAGAGTAAGTAGAAAGGCGGTAAAGACACACACATACTCTCTCATACCTGTCACCCAGATTATGAAATTGTTAATATTTTTGAGTCATTTAAGAATGTTTCAGACATGATGCCCACTTAATATCTCAATGTATACATATACACAGTGTGTGTGTGTGTGTGTGTGTGTGTGCCCGTGTATCTGTGTATGTGTGTGTGTATCCTAAGTACAAGGACATTCTATCTAACCACAAAATCATCATCAAAATCTGGAAGTTAACATTGATTAAAATTACCATCTAATCAACAGGCCCCATTCAAATTTCACTAATTGTTCCAATAATATCCTTTATATGTACAGGATCCAATCCTGGATAATGTGTTTCATTTCTATAAGCCTTAAATTTCTCCTCTGATGAGATTAGAATGGGGATAACACTAGCCCCTCCCTTGTCCTGGTTGCTGTGAGGATTGAAGGAGACAATCCATGTAAAGTATTTTGTAGAGTACTATGTACCTGACATAGAGTATGGCCTCAATAAACTTGAATTATCATAGCCCAGCCACTAACAATACCACATATGCTTCAGGTTCTCCATAAGCAAAAAACAGTTCATGTAACTATTCAATTATATCACAAAGTTTACATGGAAACTAACTTGAGTGTACCACTCAAGTTTTTCCTCTGAAGAATTCAAAGCTAAATGGCATCTTACAAATTCTTTATTGATTTTCCCTGTCTGCTGAATAGAGACCAAACTTCTTAGCCAAAAAAGTAAGGTCTTCTAGGATCTGAATCCAATCTCTCTTTCCAATTTTTTTCCTTCCTATGATAGTACTTTGACAGTTGTGAATAACATCTTCCCGGAACTTAGAAAATGCCAAACAGGTCAGGCTTGGTGGCTCATACCTATAATCCCAGCACTTTGGGAGGCCGAGGCGGGTGGATTACTTGAGATCAGAAGTTCGAGACCAGCCTGGCCAACATGGTGAAACCCTGTCTCTACTAAAAATACAAAAATTAGCTGGGCATGGTGGCCCATGCCTATAATCCCAGATCTCGGAAGGCTGAGGCAGGAGAATCATTTGAACCCAGGAGGTGGCAATGAGCTGAGACACTGCACTTCAGCCTGGGCGACAGATTGAGATTCCAACTCAAAAAATAAAAATAAAAAAAATGCCAAACCAAACAATATAGCACATCATTTCTTCCATAAGATACAGAAGTAGTCATTTGTTAAACTAGCTGAAAAATTTAACTCTCAAATCCTTAATAAAAAGTGTTAATACAAGTAGAGAATAAAAACAAAAAGATTTCAGCAAAGTTGAAAGAGATCTGACTCAGTATCATTTCAAAATTACAAATTAGTATGTGTCACAGACTTTCCAGCATATAGACAACCCAAAGTGCAACAATTAAATCTACAAATGACAAATTTCAAATCCAATCAGCTGTTTACTAATAGCAAATGATTTATTCTTCAAAATGAAACTAGTCCTTGCTTTTTTCACATAAAATATTCACTATGCCAAATGAAAGATGAGATTAATAAGGAATGTAAGGTGTTTAATACTCCATTAAAATTTATTATTTTTTCACCCAAAAGAATTTTCATTTTTTATTCATAATCCATATACCCACATATACCAAGAAAACTGCTATATTCAAAGTACATAATTCATTTTCACTTGAATATAGTTCAGGCAAGTACACTAACCAATTCATTAACATAAAAAACCTTTGTATTACGTTTGCATTAAATTTTGACATTTTAATCAGTAACTATTTATGATTCTTTCTTCTATCCCATATACTATGAATTCACCTCTTTATATCCTGAAGGTTCACTGAATCATAAAACGTAAAAGCATTTGCATTTCTGGAAATACAAAATAGTACAAATCCTATGGAGGAAAATTTAGCAATAACTTCAAAATGATATTAAACCTGTGACCCAGCATGCCACTCCTGGGGCTTTATCCTAAAGATAAACTGGCAACATGACAACAGCACTCTTCGTAATAGCAAAAAACTGATTCAATGAACCAGGGTACATCCTCATAATGAAGCACTGCACAGATGTAAAATACATATCCATGTATCGCTATGAAGTGACATCGAAGATATACCAGTAAGATAAAAAACAGGATAAATAACAGTAAACTACCTTTTATCTAAAAAAGGAGAATAAAAATAAATAAATATATATATATAATTTTTTTTTAATGGAAAGGCTAGGTTCAGTGGCTCACACTTGTAATCCCAAAAACTTGACACACAGAAGCAGGAGGACAATTGTGGCCAAGAGTTAAAAGACTAGCCTGGGCAACATAGTGAGATCTTGTCTCTACAAAAAGTTGTAAAATTAGCTGGGTGTGATAGTGCAGGCCTATAGTCCTAACCACTTGGGAGGCTAAGATGGGAGGATGGCTTGAGCTGAGGAATTTGAGGGTACAGTAAGCTTTGATTATACCACTGCACTCCAGCCTGGGTGAAAGAACGAGACCCTATCCTGAAAAAAAAAAAAAAAAGAACAAAAGAAAAAAAAGCAGGCAAAATGGTTACCTATAGAAGGAGAGATGACAGAGTGAAAAATATGAAAGCTAGACTTTTTTCTGTAAGTACCTTGCTTTACAGATTTGATTCTGAGCTTGGAACCATGTAAACAGTAAAAATTAAAGTTTAAAAAAGAATCCCTAAACATAAAGCAAATAAACTTGTGTACTGAGATGGTAGCTTAACCACACAGAAAAGAACTACTTCGAGTGATTTTAAAACATAACAACATAAATATATATCCCTAATGGAATGTATTCTAAAAGCAAAAGGAAGTGAAAAAAGTCACAACCTATTTTCAATGTTAATAACAGTAGTAATATTGATACTGTGATTCTGAAACTTTGTTATAAGATGAAGCAAATAAGTTATGCTAATGTCATTTGGAACTAAGATTTTCAGCATATTAGAAAAACTACAAATATAAAATCAAAGAATTTAAATCCTAGAGGCCTAAATTTTACTCAGAAACACCAGAAAAAAAATTCTAAGTTTATCCAATGAAAAGTTGGTCAGCATAGCAACGCTGACCAACTCAGGAGCCATGCGCACCCATGTACTCAGAGTAATACCATGTCCTCCAAAAAAAAGAACACAGGCTCCTTGGGAAAAATGGCTGATTCCAGCCTGGGACAGAAATGTACGAAAGGACCCTGGAACATCTTGTTATACCAGAAAGCAAGCACACCATCAAAAACTACTGGACTGATATCAAACGGACTCCCACTAACCAAAAACGGGACAATCTGAACATCAAAAAGGATAATATCTGCAAAGAACTGAAAGGCAAATATTTTTAAATCCATGAGGTCATAATGACACTAAAAATAAAGCAAAGTACCTCACTGGCCTTCTCTGATCAATGCTATGGAACCAATTCATTATTTTCAAAATTGGTAAATAAAATGAAAGAATGAAGTATTTTATCTGGCTTTCCTGTATATCAAAGAACTGAACAGCTCATGAGAAAAAGTTCTTTTTAGCAGAATTCCACTTAATAAATATAACTTTGGAATCCTAATGAAATAATGGATTTAGGGCAATAATTATTTAAATAGCTATTAAAACCATAAGGTAAAAGGTTGTTTGAGGAACTTTATAGTTAATCAATCAGAATGACAGTACCTGAACTCACTGATCACATCTTGTCACAAAAACGGAGACAATCAAACATTATGTATATTATGTGGCAAATAAGAAATGAACATCACTGCCATTAATAAAGCATTCTGGCCTAAGAAAAAAAAAAAAAAGAAAGACCCCAAATCAAACAAGCCTCTTGATGGTCATCAGTTTATAGTAAATACAGAGGAGAAAGGAACATGTTAAATAACACCACAGGGACAAAAACAGCAAAATCTAGACTTTGGGAAACTCTCATCATAAACAAACTACTTGGTTTTTCCAATAAACTGTAAAAAAAAAAAAAAAAAAAACGAGGTAGAGGGAATTTATAAACTTAAGAGAATTAACTAAACACAATCTGTGGGCCTTGTTTGGATTCTTCTTTGAATAAACCAACTGTAAAAACAAATTATGTTATTAGGAATTATAGTTAATTTTAGGGATAATAATGGCATAATGGTTGTATTTTTAAAATCCTTATCTTTTAAAAAAGATACACACTGAAGTATTTATAGATGAAATAAGATTACTTGGATTTGCTTCAAAATAATCCAGGGAGAGAGGAAGGGAATGGGAAGCCAAGGAGCCAAGTCATTCAACTACCAGCCCCAATCTCACAGGAAGTTAAGGTGGCTCCTCCCATAACAGCTAGTATTCGTTGAGCACTTACTAAATATTAAGCATAGCGCATCTATGGTTGAGGAAACTGCAGCTTAGAGTAGTCAGAATTAAAGCCTACCGTTATTAGACCCTA
This sequence comes from Homo sapiens, assembly GCF_000001405.40. Classification (NCBI taxonomy): domain Eukaryota; kingdom Metazoa; phylum Chordata; class Mammalia; order Primates; family Hominidae; genus Homo; species Homo sapiens. The sequence continues at coordinate 69,750,100 of NC_000012.12, read as the reverse complement.
CTGTCCAAGCTCTTAACCACCACGACACACTTACAAGTAGAACTGCTTTGCCACTCCATTGTTCCACTGTTCTAGTGAAAATGTTTCTCTTAGTTTTGAATTAAAATCCATCATGCCTGCAACATTAACCCTATTTTTCCCACATATAAACACAGTATTTCAGCCATTCTTTCAGCAAGTATTTACTAATGACCTACTCTGTGCCAGGATCTGGGGAAAGAAGAAAAATCTACTCTGCCTTCAAACAGCCTATTAGAGTAGGAGACTGACAAGTAGAGGCAATGATATGTGATAAATGCCACAGAAGATGCAAATAAACTCAGAGACCACACGGGAAGGACAAATAAATCAGAGACAAAGGATTCCCGAAAAAATAAAGCCAAAGGAAAGATCCAAACAACAAGCAAGAAATGAGAAAGACAAAACCTTTGTAAGGGCTTTCCAGACATGTCCACCATGTGAAAGCAAAGCATTTATACAAAACGCAGTTACTCCATTAGCTGGAGCACAAGCTATGAATATAAAGTACAAGTCTCGAAGAGAGGCAGGTTTGAATCCCACTTCTGTCAAATTACTGAGACAATCTGAGCCTAGGTTCTCCCATCTGGAAATCTGTGTCTTGGTTTTGCTACCTAACAGAATGAAAATTAAAAGGGATAATACTACATAACAGCAGTCCCCAACCTTTTTGGCCCCAGGGACCAGTTTCGTGGAAGACAATTTTTCCACAGACAGGGCAGAGGGTGGGAGGAGATGGTTTCGGGATGAAACTGTTCCACCTCAGATCATCAGGCATTAGATTCTCTTAAGAAGCATGCAACCTAGATCCCTTGCAATGTGCAGTTCACAATACGGTTCGCACTCCTATGAGAATCTAATGCAGCTTGCTGATCTGACAGGAGGTGGAGCTCAAGTGGGAATGCTCGCTTGTCCGCCACTTACCTTCTGCCACTTACCTCCTGCTGTGTGGCCCAATTCTTAACAGGCCACAGACCACTTTAGGTCCACAGCCCAGGAACTGGGGACCCCTGTTATATAGCACTTAGGACAATGCCTCTGAGCAGTGCTTCTAACCTACAATGTTTCCCTTCTGGGGGATACATTTAAATACTGTCTAAATTCAAGTCACTTCTGAAAAGGAGATTATTTTGAGATTAAATTTAATCCCTTTTTCAAGCACATAAAATTTCCATAAAATGTAATTTAGCTGGTAATGAGCTGCCAATCTCACTGGTCTGAAAATCTTTTGCCCTTTAAATACATAGAAGCTTTAAGATTTATTTCACATACGTCTTTATAAGAGTAAAATAAACTACTATTTTTAAGCAGTAGTATCTTTCGCATTAAGCAATGAGTGATTCAAAAAGAACTAATTTCAACTGATTATCCCAATTAGTAAATTAAACTTGTCAAGGATCATGACCAATATGTAAAAAAGATGATCACATTAAATTCTTATGGGTGAATCACCAACACAACTTGGCTGGCCTTATTACTGAGCTCCAGGTAATAAAGCAGACTGCAGACCACAAGAAAAAGTTGATCAAAACAATTTGCTTCTGATCCCTAATATGCATTTCCTGTTAATTTTTCTTTCTCGAAATCAGTACTATCACAGCAAAAACAACAGCCAATCTTTACTGAAGGTTAACTATGTTGTCAGATAGTGGTGCTAAGAATTTCATACATATTAACTCATTTAATAAATGCCTAGAAAGATCCTAATAACTTATGAAATTTACTTTTTCTAATTAAAGTGAATTTTTAAAATGTTTCTTGAAAACAAAAGCCATCCCTAGGACAACTCAAGAAATCAGAATTAATGGGAAAATATTTTCAATGAAACATCTGAAGAACATGAATAAAATGCATATACATATTTTAAATGAAATCTAGCAACTTGATTTATATCAGTAGTCCAAAAGAAAAAATAAAATCCATTTTTCCACAAAAAGCACATTCCCCTAATTTGGACTTACCTTGACAAATGGGAAACATAGAATTTTAATTTTAGAAAAAAAAAAAAAAACTAAAGCTGTGATTTTTATCTTTTTTCATATCAATTTAATATATGTGAAAATTAAATAATTTGAATTCTATGTTTACTAAAATTCCTCAAAGCACTACACTCAGAAAGTAAATCATTTCCAACAAAGGAGGTAATATGGCAACACAGCAGAGTAGAAGCATCAGTACCTGAAGAAGAAAGCTAAGGCTCCTGATCAAGCTCTGAGATCTATCTATGAACCTGGGCAGGTAACTTATCTGAGCCCAAATATCTTCATCTATTTCAGTGTAGAATTGGATCAAATAATCCTGGTAGATAAAGGAATGTACTTGTCTACTAGAAGAAAAGCCAACAGGGTAACTTAACCAGTATTCACTATCTCATGAAATAGCTTGTACTCTGGAATCAGTCTCAAATCTTGGCTTCACCAGTTACTAATAAAGTGACCTGAAGATCTAAGTCTCAATTTCTCATCTAAAAATGGAGATGACAGGTCAGGCACAGTGGTTCTTGTAATCTCAGAACTTTGGAAGGCCAAGACAGGACGGTTGCTTGTGCCCAAGATGTTTAAGCAACAACCAAAAGCAACATAGCGAGACCCCATCTCTACAAAAAATTTAAAAATTAGCAGAGTGTGGTGGCATACGCCTGTGGTCCCAGCTACTCCTGAGCCAGGAAGGTTGAGGCTATAGCGAACTGTGATTGTGCCACTGCACTCCAGCCTGAGCAACAGAGAAAGATCCTCTCTCTCTCTCTCTCTCACACACACACACACACACACACACACACACACACACACGAAAGGGCAAGGGGAGAAAACTGTACCTATCTCCTAAGGTAGTCATGAGAATTAAAGAGCTTAGCACCATATCTGGCACTTACCAATTAAGACTGGCTCTTACTATTATAATCATCTCTAGGACATTTCCTAATACTGGCCAAATATTTTGATCATATTGTATCAGCACAAGCACTATCACTAAGAACAAAAAGCAATGATTGTTGAGTTTGGGTTTAAAAGCTTATTGTTTTGAGTGATTTTCCTCAAAAAAAGTAAACATCTATAAATCCTGTAGTATAATTTTGTTTTACTTGTATTATCACAATAATAGAAATTAAATATTCCAAGACATGTCAAAAGAAAAGGTTTAAGATTATGTAAGCACTATTTTCCTCTTTCAATTTATTCACAGACAGTTGTGGAAGGGGGGCAGGGAGGAAAGTCCAGATGCTTTTTAAATTCCCAAATGACTTCTTAATTTAACATGAATTATGAAAGAAACAGTTTCTGAGATTAAAAATGAGACTGCTACTTCAATAGCATATAATGAATTGAACTGTTATAAATTCCATGAATTAGTTACAAATTCCATCACTTCTTTAAAAACCTTCAACATTTATTATACATATTAAATACATTTATTTCATACATATATGTGATAAATTATATTTATTCTTGTTGGAATGGAAGGATGATTGCCAGCTTCAACACCTCCGGGCAAATCCTGATACTAAGTGCTAAGAATACAGATACAAATGGACCAAAGAGATGGCACACAGCCTCTACGAGCCACGGCATGATTATTCTGAGGGTTGTGGGGAGGGAAGAGGGAAGAGGAGAATGTCTCAAAGAGAAGTAAAATATAAGTCAGATTTTCAGTGCTGAATACAAGTCCAGTAGATGGGCAAGGGGAATAGGATAGGACAGTCAGGGAATAAGGGTCTGGCACTAACAAAACTAACAAAGGAGACAGTAACAGAAAAGCAGGCTGGAGAGGCAGACTGTGACAGACCATTAAAAGCCTTCTTTAAAAGAGAAAATGTTGCTTAAAGTTTATCCTGAAGAGATGGTGAGATCTACATTTTAGAAAGTATAGATGTATTGTAATGTAGTCATTTAAAAATGACTCCCAAGGCAATGAGAACTTCACTGGAGACTAGAGGCTGGTTAAACGATTACTGTCTGATCTAATGCCAAGGTCATGCACTGGGAATGAGGGGATGGAGGCATATATACGTATGGAAAACATTCAGAACAGCTTCATTTATATTTATTCACAAACACACAATTATTCCAGTTAATCTTCAGAGCATTCATTTGAAATGGTTCTTATCCCTACTTTACAGATATATAAAAAAAAGAGGCTGAGAGAGATTAATTTTGTCAAATACACAAAAAGTAACAGAGCTAGTATTCAAACTCTGGTGTGTCTGACTCTAACACCTAACTCCACTACATCTGAGATACACTTAGAAGCTGAAATGGATAGGGAGTAGGGAGATGGGAATAAAGGTTAAAGCACAGCAAAGGATCTCTAAGAAGTGAACAATCCTGGGTGCAGTAAACCACCATGGCACGTGTATACCTATGTAACAAACCTGCATGTTCTGCACATGGTATCCCAGAACTTAAAGTTTAAAAAAAAAGAAGTGAACAATCCAAACAGAATAATAATGTTTAATCTCTGAACCCTTCTCTTACTTTCACAAAGACAAAACTGAAGTTTCTCTAAAGCACTGCTATTGAAATGAGCATTTGCTATTGCTTTGTGTTCTATTATTTTCCCCTATATTATTTTTGTTATCATTTCCTCCTCTGTTTTGTTACTATGCCAGAATTTAATACTTATTCAGCTCCTTACAGGACTTGGAAAAAAAAAAACAGCACATAAATCAAAATAAACAGAAACTTGAATTTACTATAGTACCCATATTCCTGTGTATTTTTTTAAAAAGTGTAGATATTTTATACCAAGGAATTAGTGTTAATTTTTGAAAATTTGTAATAATAAAAGCAGGAAATGTAGATTAAAATGAAAAAATAAATAAAGAACAAAGTTTGTAAAAGTACTGCAGTTAACTGCTCTTATCTTTGGGAAATACTGAAATACCTACAGGTGAAATTACACAGGACTTGCAATTTGTTTCAAAATAATATAGAAGTGGGAGAAGTGGATGGATGAGGACTGATCACTGTTGATAGTTACTGGGCTACATGATGGAAACTTTTAGGTTCATTATACTATTGTGTCTACTTACCTTATTTGAAACTCTCCATAATTTATAGTGCTCTCAAAATAAAAAGGAAAGTTCAAAATTTATTCAAATACTGTATAATAAAGGAGGAAAAAACAAAACAAGTATATATATAAAATCATTTTTTCATTAGCTTTCATAATAATTTTAAAGTTGGCTTCCCAAACTAGCATTTTAGTTATGACAAAAAAAATCACATTTATCTTTTAAGAAGCATTCTATGTTTATAAATGCAAATGTAATTAATAGCCCAAGGGCAAAATTACTCAAATGGTCAATCAGGCTACACAATTTTCCCATTTTTATTATAATAGATCACAAATGAATTCCCACTAATTCCACAATACTTTTTTTTTTTTTTTTTTGAGATGCAGTCTCGCTCTGTCGCCCAGGCTGGAGTGCAGTGGCACAATCTCGGCTCACTGCAACATCTGTCTCCTGAATAGCTGGGATTACAGGCGCCTGCCACCACACCCAGCTAATTTTTTGTATTTTTAGTAGAGATGGGGTTTTGCCATGTTGACCAGGCTTGTCTCGAACTCCTGACCTCAAGTAACTGTCTGCCTCAACCTCCCAAGTGCTGGGACTACAGGTGTGAGCCACCATGCCCGGCCTAATTCCACAACACTTCAATGTACAACCTGACATGTGTAGAGATGTTAGTTATTGCAGTGTGTTATGTTGACAGTTTTCAGAAAATGTTCTGAACTTATGAGCTAATATTATATTTAATTACAAATAATTATTTGTAATAATACAATGAGCTAATATTTAATTACAAATATTTATTTGTAATTAAATATTTATTTAAATTAACAGAACACCGCATGTTCTCACTCATAAGTGGGAGATGAACAATGAGAACACACGGACACAGGGAGGGGAATATCACACACCAGGGCCTGTGGGGGAGTGGCGGGCTAGGGGAGGGATAGCATTAGGAGAAATACCTAAGGTAGATGATGGGTTGACCGGTGCAGCAAACCACCATGGCACGTGTATACCTATGTAACAAACCTGCACATTCTGCACATGTATCCCAGAACTTAAAAGTATAATTTTTTAAAAAAATCATTTTCCAAATTTCTTTTTCTCAATAATGGAAGCTTCATTTTACATATTCTCTTAAGAATATATGCCAACTAAACATTCAACAGGTGCTGAAATACGCACTGACTAAATAAATAAACAAGAGTCTTTAGAGAAGGAATGAATAGCAAAGCGGTAAAGAGTGGAGACAGTTATTCAGGCTACATTTTTGCTGAAAAAGATAGAAATGAAACAGTAAATACTTTGCGAGAGTATCAAAACTGGAGAAATTGAAGTTTGAGAAAACCTGAGCATTTTAACAGACTAACTTCAGAAAACCTTCCTTCTAGTTCAGATTCTGTCACTGACAAGCTGTGTGAACTGACGCAAGTCATTTAATCTCTCTAAGGTTCAGTTTTGACATCTATAATGGTAGTGATATTATCTCCCCTGCCTACATTTGAGAAAATCAAATGGCATATCAATGTAAAAATGTATACATTGTAAAGCACAACATAAATGTATGATTTTATAAAGATCTAAGAAAGAAAAAAATGTAATGGGGGAAATAGCAAAAGCATACTGAGGGGTTTGTCTTACAAATCAGAAGGTATCTTTATTTATCTTAGGTAAAAGGAAAGAAAGGGAAAACTAGTCTTTATGAGGCATGTAGTTCAAATATGATTCTTTTCCCCACAGGGAATTGATACAAATTTGCTTATTGTTTTTTCAAACTTATTTTGGTTTTTCTTTTATACTTTATCCTTATCTGACAACCAGATGCTCCCAAACAAATATTCAATACTATTACTTTTATCTGGGCATATCAAATTACAATTCACTTATTTAAGTGGTTCTAAGCTATCATCTATATGCTCCTTTATGCTCATAGGGCATTCTCACATTCTTGAATAGTTTCTTCATACTAAGCTGTCAATTCATATACTTATTTGTGTATGTATCCATACCCCTCAGAGGAATTTCATCAACTGCCATTATGATTATATTTACAATCCTACTGTTAACGACAAGCATCAAATCTTTCATGAACTTGAACTATTTGAATAATTTTCATTCTTTTTCCTCTAAGTAATATCAGTTTACGGCTATAGTTATCTAATTTCGTGTTGCCCTATATTCTAAGATAAATCAGATTACTTTTTCCACTTTTCTCTAACCATGACTATGTACGATGTAAGCTTATAAAACTACCTCATTTAGTGGTAAGTTGAAAAGGAAAGCAGAAGGGAAAATAGAGATAGCAAGTTAATGCTCCCAGTTGTATAAATATCTTCCTCTTCCTTCCTTTGTCCCTTCATTTCTCAATGTTCATTTCAATTTCTACTGCTAGAGCAGCTTCAAAACATCCTAACATTCTTCAACTGATCATCCATCACCAAACACAGCACAGTACTTACCTGGCCCGATGTTAAAGCTATAAAATGAGGTAAGCCCTACTCTCGAAGCACTTGTAGACTAGAGGAAGAGACCACCTTGCCAATAAACATGTTTCTAGGGCCCTAGAAACAATTACAAATACAACACAAATATCAAAGTTCATAAATACCAAAAAAGAGGTACTCAGTATTATAAAAGCATAAAATTTTTAAAAAGAGTACCATCTGGTACAACTAAGGATAGTAGCATAAAAAAGGAGAAACAAGCTAGAAAGCAGTTTACAAAAGCTCAGATATTTTGTTTTTAGGATATCAAATGCGTAGTAACCAATTTACTATCCTTTGATGAACTGCATCTTAATCAGAATTATATCGGAAAAAAGTTTAGTGTGAAAAAGCGTACTCCCTTGGAATATCTTCAAAGCTTTCCCTCATTACCTCAATGCACAAATATCTCTACCCACTATCCATCTGTCCTTCCTCTCCACTACTCAACTATCCTAGCACTTTGTCTTAGTTGACATTCATTAAAATATGTAAAGTGCGTTCTACATTTTGAAGAACTTATAAAAGATATGGGAATGATTATAAGGCCCTACCTTCCATATTCCTTAAGAACAGTTTCCTTTAACCCCTACTGTGACTTGCAGAGTAGATGCTCAATGAGTATTTGATTTAAAAAAATCTCTGGTGACACAATGAGAATTACATATTACATTAACATTACGTATCTCATAAAAGCTAAATTACAAAGTTCTTCAGCATTATAAGCTACACATAAAGAAGTGATAATGTAGTGATTATGAGCAAACAATTCTTTAGCATTACCACTTATACATGAAGAAATGACAGAGTGTAGTGGTTAAGAGCACAGACATGGAAGACAAACTGTCTGACATCTAATCTAGACCTGTCACTTAATTAACTATGTGACGTTGAGCAAACTACATAAGGTCTCAGGGTCTCAATTTTCTCAACTACAAAATAGGGATAAAGTATTATCTCCTCGCTCACTCTGAGAGTAAATGAGTATAAAGCTTACACCAGGACTTCGCTTGATAAGCACTAGACTTAAAAGTAACTGTAGTAGCAATGCTGGTATCACCGTCTTCAGAAAACTTGGATATTTTTAAACCAGAAATACAAATGGTAACACTTGTCATCTGTGTGCCTCCTTATAGTTACAAAGCTCTTTAATAGAAGGTGCAGACCAGGAATGTAAGAAACAAAAGCACTACGTTCCATTTTGGGCAGTCGGATACAGTTTTTAATACCGGCTCTGTCACTGGCCAGCTGTACGACCACCTACAACTAAGTAACCATAGACAAATTATCGCAACTTTCTAAGCCTCCATTTCCTGACTTGTAAAATTTGATAAACCACCTATATCCCGGGAATGTCCAGAGGACTGAGGAGTCAAGGTATCGAAAACAAGCACACACAGTGCCTTGCACACAATCAAGCTCACACTGGTTCCTTCTCCCCTTCCCCACATCTCTAATGGAGTATGTTATTAAATCCTCATCTTACCATTATGAAGTTCATATTAGGTTGAAACATAAAAAACAGCAGAATATTAGCAATTTCAACCTAATAGTATTTCCACTGACAAATGGAGAAAATAAGCTCAAACAGGTTAAATGTTTTACTCAAGGTTTTATGCACAGTAAGTGATGGAGCTGAACATTAAATAATTTTTCATTCAGCCAGCTCACTAATTTGTTCACTGACTCCTGTTGAGGAGGAAAAAAGTATAGTAACTACTATAATGCATATAAAACTACTGTAATCTACAAAGTATTTTTTCGTGCCATATTTAAAAAATGAGGGGGTGAAACATTTCTAAGAACCTTTCCATTTTAAAAATTATTTGTAGAGGATGTGTGTGTTGGGGGAGGATGAGAGTTTAGACAAAATCAAAGGTAAAGAATATTAAAGGAAACATATGGATAACTGCACTAATTCAAAAAGTACAATAGGATCTATTCAGAAATCCCACAAAGCAGCTAAACATTAAATGGCCATCCTGGTGAAAGATTACAAGTATTCAGTACCACAGATGAGTTGTTTACCAAACACAGAAGGAAGAGTTGTATCAAACACTTTGGTTCACAAAGGTATACATTAATATGTAACATTACTGTAATGGAAAAAAATGCAATGGCTTTTCATTTAATAGTTAAAAAATGGACTACTTAATTGTATAACTGTTTATTTCTATAAATTCCACAAGGGCTTTAGGATTAGATCACATAAGCCGCATCTGGAATACACTGTCTGTCCAAACATGAAAAGTCCTATCAAAATGCACAGTACTAGTAAATAAATAACAAATGATAACAGAACAAGGCCCCATAAAACTGGTGAAATATTTAACAGTATCAAATATTTACTACGATTGGTCTACAACCCTATTCTGCCTCTTTTCTCCTTGATTTGTCATTCAGCACTGGAAGAAAAAAAAACCTTCATGAACAACAAAATGAGAAAAAGGATAATGAACAAGAACTGGGTCTTTCAACTGATTTACAATGGAACAGTTTTGTTGTAATCCTCTTATGGGCCCCTCCTCCAATTATGCAATCATTCCACTGCAAGAGATTACAAGGCTTTTAACCCGACACTGAACGGAAGGAGTTGGGGTGAAACAGGAGAGTGTATAACAGGTAGCCTCCGAACAGGCAACATTTCCATGAAACTAAATTGCCTCTCAGTAATCAGTACTAACTAACTCAGCGCTCGTGTCTTTCAAGACCTTACCCTTTCATCTTTTTTAATCCCATAACAACCGGCAACTCTTCACATGCTGCGACTTCCACCCAGCATCATCACTTCTGGAGCCAGTAAGCTCGCGCTTCCTGGGCGGTCGGGGCGAGTTGTCAACGCTGGGAGGGCAGAGCCATGCAATCCCACCCGTGCAGTTCGTCTCAACTCCCCCGAACACAAGTCTGGCGGCACGGAGCTGCCTACTTGGGCGCGACTCCGGGCGCCTGCCCGGAATTTCCCACCAGGTTTCACCGAAACCTCCCGAGGGTGACCTCTACGCCTCAGCACGGTGCCTCGCGCGTAGTTTCCTAAGACTGGGACACGAAACCACCCCAGGTCCACAGCCCTGCCGCGCGGCGTCCGGTGTTGTGAGCTGCTTCCGACTTGTTCGGGAACTCTCTCTTCATCCTCTTCGCGACCGCGGCCCTCCGCTCCCGGCCGCGCCCGCCCGCCGCCAGGTAACCCGCTGGACTCGGGCTCCCTGCCCCGGGCGCGCGGGACCGCGCAGTTAATGTGTAACGCGCCCGTGCCCGGGGGAGGAGCCGCCGCCCGACGCCCACCAGCAGCCCAGGGGGCGGCCGGCTGACCCGGGTCGCCAAAGTCCCCCCCACACGCCGCCCCCAAGGGCCCGGAGCCCAAGTGCCCAGGCGGAGAGCGAGCTCACCGGGCCTGGGCATCCCCCCGAACCCCCGCGTGCCGCGCCCTGCACGGCGCCAGCACCTGCACCTGCCGCGGCCGCCCCTCCTGGCCGACTCGCCAGAGGCGGGCGCGCGGGCGCCGAGGGGGGCGGTGCTCTACGCTCCGGGCCTCTCCCTCCCGCGGCCGCACTCACCTGAAGAACCCACCGCGGCCGCTGCCGGCGCTCAGGGGCGCTCACAGAGCCGCAGAGAGCGCGTCCCGAAGCAGCGAGAAACGGAGGAGGACGGCGAGCCCTTTCCGCTACACTCCACGGCGGCGGGCTCACTACGCCGGCAGCCGCCGAGGGAACGCGGGACTGCGCCTGCGCCGGAAGCGGGGCCGGGGGCCGGGAGCCGGGAGCGGCCGGTCCTCACGGAGGGAGGGCGGGGTAGGGGGGTGTGGCCGGCAGGGGCGGGGCGAGCCCGGCATGGGGCCTGGGGGCGGACGCGCTTCCGCGCCCCCTGGCGCCAGGCGGGGCTCGTCGCAGGTGTCACGGCCCTGGCCCGAGGTTCCTCCGCGGGCGGTTTCCCTGGGAACCAGCGCGAGCCGGAGCTGCGCTCTGTTTCGTCGGGCCCGCGCTCTGTTTCGTCGGGCCCGCGCTCTGTTTCGCCGGGCCCGAGAGGCGGCCTCAGGTTAACTTCAAGCATGTTGGGCTCTCCAGGAGGGAGAAGAGGCACCTTTGCCGTGGGTTGAGGACTCCTAGAACCAACCTGAGACTCCGCGGCCATATACACCTTACGACGTGTGTGTGTGTGGCGGGAGATGGGAGGGGAGGAATCCTGTAGAACCCAGATCCCATCATTCCAGCAACTGCCAGAGCGTTCGAGAATGTCATGTCTGTACCTGTCTTCTCTCATCTTTTGTGCCAACTGTTTTATCAAACTTCTACCCCACTTTAGGTCTTCCAGGTAGGAAAAATACAGAAAGAGCCAAGATCCCAAAAATCAAAAAAAAATAATAATAATAGAGGTAGTCATAGTATGTGTCTCTATGTTTAGCAAAAGAGAAACGTGCATTTGTGTGATACACTTATTGAATAGGACCATCATTCTGGGTATTAATCTCATCTATTAGAGGCAGTAAAGAAAAGTAGACTATATGTATGGTTGTTGGAGTCAGAATTACTGGGCTTGAGCCTGCCACCTGCTAGCTGAGTGACCTTAGGCAAATGAATCTCTCTAGCCCCAATTTTCTCATCAGTGAATGAGTATACAGAACCTGCCTCACTGAGTCATTAAGAGTTTAAATGGCTTAATTCATGTAAACACTTTGCGTACTTCATGACACAGAGTGCCTAATAAATATTAGCTATTGTTATTATACCATTATAACTATTATCATGCATCTGTAATCCAGAAACCTAGAAAGCCAGTGTTTCTTATTTTATACCCCATCGCCAATATATCACCAAGTCTTATTCATCCTAATTTCTAAATAATTCTTAAATCTATCTTATCTGATATTCATTGCCACTAGAAATGACCTTTCTCATTAATGGATTCCTATTCTCCCTTACACCTCATAGCTGGTCATTTATTCATCAGACATTTTATTGCACTCCATCTGTGTGCCTCCTGTTAGACATAGGGACAGAGAAACCATTACAAAGTCCCCACCATCCACGGACTCAAACATATATAGGGAGACAAGTATGTCAATAGTAGCTACGTGAAATGAATAAATTAAATATACAGCAAACCACTTAGGCTCCCCAGTCTTGCCGTACTCACATACAACCCTGTATTTCCATATGCTGTTTATTTTTATGTCTTGATCTCCTACCTTTTCCTTGCCTTGCTAATTATTTGTTATTCATTATTTAGCCTAGACATCAATTCCACTGTGAACCCTTCCCTATTGTTGGCCACTCAGCCCTATCCCAGCCACTCCAGTATGGGCTAAGTGCCCCTACCAGGGCTTCCATAACACCGTATCTCTTTGTAACACTTATCACATAGAGTTATAATTGTATCTGTATTTCTCCATTTTCCTGGACTGCGAGCTTCTTGAGAACAGGCACAAGGTCTGACATGCAGTAGGACTGACTCAGTAAATGCAGAATGAGTGAATGGCATGCATGCAGAGTGCAGTCTTGGTATGTGAATGTTTAGAGGACAAGTCCTATGATATATTCTACATAAGACCTAAGACATCATGATCTATAGGAAATAGTAAGCAGTAACCATATATGCCTGAGTCCTGCGTTGGTCCATTTACAAATCACCTACCATCCATGAGGCTTTTTGAAATATACTGAAAGATGTTCCTCTTGAATACTTAACCTGTTAGCGCTGTTTGAGAAGAGTGATATAGATTGTTACCTATAATAATACTTCAGTGTTCTTGCAGCACAGAGACCAAGATACATTACAGAATATTAGACACTCAGAATCTCAGCCTACAAAGTATGTAAAGGGCTGTGAGCATCTTAAGTTTGATAGCTTACCCATATATAAAAAGGACAGCTATTTCACAAAATTTAAAAATGTGAAAGATTTGGATGGGCACGGTGGCTCATGCCTGTAATCCCAGCACTTTGGGAAGCCAAGGTGGGCAGATCCTTGAGGTAAGGAGTTCGAGACCAGCCTGGCCAACGTGGTGAATCCCCATCTCTACCAAAAAAAAAAAAAAAAATCAGCTGTGCATGGTGGCACACACCTGTAGTCCCAGCTACTTGGAAGGCTGAGGTGGGAGAATCACTTGAACCCGGGAGGCGGAGGCTGCAGTGAGCCGAAATCACGCCACTGCACTCCAGCCTGGGCGACAGAGTGACACCCTGTCTCAAAAGAACAAAACAAAAGGCCGCACGCGGTGGCTCACACCTGTAATCACAGCACTTTGGGAGGCTGAGGTGGGCAGATCACCTGAGGTCAGGAGTTCAAGACTAGTCTGGCCAACATGGTGAAACCCCATTTCTACCAAAAACATAAAAAATTAGTCGGGCATGGTGGCTGGCACCTGTAATCCCAGCTACTCGGGAGGCTGAGGCAGGAGAATCACTTGAACCTTGAATCACTTGAACTCGGGAGGCAGAGGTTGCAGTGAGCCGATCGCGCCATTGCACTCCAGCCTGGGTGACAAGAGTGAGACTCCATCTCAAAAAAAAAAAAAAAAGAGTGAAAGATTTTATAGTGTGCTCAAGGTTGCCTTTTTCTCTTTATTTTTTTCTCTTTATTTTTTAAAAATGTAAATTATACAATTAGTGTCAAATATAACGTATAAAATAATATTGCTTTTTTTTTATCTTAAGACTTTCTCATTTATACCTTGGGCCAGAAAAAAAGCAGATGAGTGCAAATATATAGACATTGTAAATTGAACAAACCATTCTAAGGTTGTTACCCTTAGTTATAACTTTTATTACTTGTTTGCCTCTGTTTTGTTTTCAGAGTTAAGAAAATGTATTTTCATGGTATTTTCCAGTTGCAAACTGACTTCATGTTAATGATTACATGAGTCTTGTACAAAAAACAATTTGATGCAGGTGGAAAGGTAGTTATTCTTCATTTTTGTGGATGGGGAGCTTAGGCCACCAGAGTTAGGGCCCTGGTGTTTGGAATGCAGGTTAATATCTTATAAACGAATGAAGTGAAAACATATTGAACTTTTGTGTCCAGTAGTATGGCAGACTAGAGGCTCTGGCTGATTCTCAAACCCAAAGCAATATATATAAATATATATAAAACATCTTATCAAGCATATCAAAGAGTTGGCAAGAATATAAGAAACCCTGAAGGGCAAAAACTAGGTGTAAGTGAGAACTCAGACTGGTAAATAGTAACAATGCAAAAATGAAATGGAAAAAAAAGACAGTTATGGGAAAAATGTACCAAAAGTAATTAATCTATCATTTCCTTGTCTGCCAAAATAGTCAGTGAGTGCCAGTGCTTGTGTTCTCATAAAAACTGACTTTTGCAACTCCTGTAAAAAAGCAGAGCAATCTCAAAAGTGTCTGTCATGATATTAATTATGGACAATCCTGTATTTCAGGCCCCCTTTCTGATGTTGGAATAAGTGACTGGGAAAAATTGGAAAGCTGAGAGAAAGGGTTTAAGAGAGAGCTTAGACTCTAAAAAGTATGATTCCCCCCTTCAAAAGAATCACTTTAACAAGCTACATATATATAACAAAACGTTTTGAGAATTGACTTTAGATCCAGTTTATCACACACACAAATTGCCATCCATCAAACAAATATTTATTTGTAGCTTCTCTGTGACAACTGTGTAAATAATTTTCAGTAAGAAGGAAGAGAAGGAGAGATGAGACACAGTGAGAGGGCTTCCTGGCCTCCCCTTACTTTTTAATTCCAGCTATCGCTCTATTACTGAGGCTTCCTTCATCCCTTCCCATAGGTTCTGTGAGAAATCCTTCTGTCCTTAAAATAATTCTCCCTTTTTTGCTTTACATAGCTTTGAATGATTCCTATTACTGCCACCAGAAAATTATCCTAAACTATATATTTTCATACAGGGATTGATTTCTGTAGCAGTTAAAAAGCTCAAAGTAACAGTAGCTTAAAGAAAATAAAATGTATTACTCTCACATCAGTGTAGGTGACTCTCTAATCAGCAGATCCATGGGCTCCTTCCATCATGTGGCTTTACCATCCTGAAATGCAGCTTCTACCTTATGATCCATCATGGCTGTTCAAGTTCCTTATATCCTTTTTCCAGCAAGCATAAAGGAGGTAGGGGCAGAAAGGAACACACGTGTCTATTCTAAGCCACTTACAGAAGTTGTATACATCACTACACTATGCTCCCTTGGTCAAGTGTAGTCTCTATTGGGTAGCCATGTGCCCAGCTAAAAATCAGTGGTTCTAACACTAATGAAGAAGGGGAGAACGTATATTAAAGAGAACTAGCAGTCTCTACTTCATCACCTGGCATGAGACTTAGGATGAGAGAAATGGTGATGGGGTAGAACATACAAATAGAACAAAGGCGGTGTTAGGAAAACATGCAGTGTGTTCAGAGATGGTAAGCAATGCAGCTTAGTTGGCTCATGGAACAAGTGCAGGTGGATAGATAAGCCTGGAAAGATATGCAGGAGCCAGATTGTGGAAAGATCATAAATGCCAGGCTGAAGAATATAGAATTTGATAGAAGAAGGTTTCTGAAAGATTTTTGAGCTGGAGAGTAAAATGATCAAAACAATGCTTTAGGAAGACTTGTGTTGGCAATGCCTAGAATATATTTGAGGAGAGAATGACTACAGGCAAGGAAATTAGATAGGAAGCTACAATGAGATAGTGCCTATACTTCATCAAAACAGAGAAGAGGAAACATTTCAAAGGATGTCTAATGCAACAAGTGATTAGATGTCTCACACCTCTCTCATGCACACACACACACACACACTCACACACAGAGCTTACTCAGCGTCCATTATACCTTTTTGAGATCAGCACATTGATGTTACTTGGAGAAGCATCTTTCCACCATATTTAGTCTGTATGATTCCAGTGGAACTGAATTCCCCCAACTCCAGGGGTGAATATGTGACCCAGGCTTGACCAATCAGAGAATCCTAGTCTCTGTGATGGATTCATTGATAAGCAAATGACTCAAGTAGAGCCAATAAAAGTCAGTTCTGGGAGTTTTGGGTTAATGTTGGGAAAAATGAATCTATGTGGATTGCTGAGAAAATCAAATGTAAGCTGCTGGCAACAATCTTGCCCCCATTGGAGAATATGCCTAAAAATGGAACTAACATGGAGACGGCAGATCTGAGAGAGAAGAAAACGAAGTGTGAGTCCTAATGACATCATTTTACTTCCTGGATCAACCTGTGACTGAAGCCAGAGACCCTGGAATTTTTAGTTACATGAACCAGTAATTTTATCTTCGCTTATGCCAGATTATGTAGGGTTTTCTGCCACTAGCAACTGAATATATAGAAATAAAGGTGAGAAAGGAATCAATGAGAATTCCAAGTTTTAAAGATAGTATCATCTACCTTTGCCATACATAGTATTACCCAGACTTGGCTCTGATCAATTTTATCTGTTCCAAAAAATCAAATCTACATTCAAAGGAGGATGTTTGGGGCTGGGCAGAGTGGCTCACACCTGTAATCCCAGCACTTTGGGAAGCTGAGTTGGGCAGATCACCTGAGGTCTGGAGTTCAAGACCAGCCTGTCCAAGAGATGGTAAAACCCCATCTCTACTAAAAATATAAAAATTAGCTGGGCGTGGTGTTGGGTGCCTGTAATCCCAGCTACTAGGGAGGCTGAGGCAGGAGAATCGCTTGAACCCGGGAGGTGGAAGTTACAGTGAACCAAGATTAGGCCACTGCATTCCAGCCTGGGCAACAGAACGAGAC
The DNA here is from genome assembly GCF_000001405.40 of Homo sapiens. NCBI lineage: Eukaryota > Metazoa > Chordata > Mammalia > Primates > Hominidae > Homo > Homo sapiens. The sequence goes on along the minus strand of NC_000012.12, from coordinate 69,732,858 downwards.
TCT